>NC_000010.11:13040303-13191818 GCF_000001405.40 Homo sapiens
CCCCTATGTTAACACGTTTGCCAGCCCAAGATAGGCTGTGACAAAAGGAAGTGAGCCTTATCTATCAGTGGAGGTTGAACAACCAGCAACGTGAGTCATCCGCAAAAGTAAACAGCTGGGGCTAGATGCGGTGGCTCGCGCCTGTAATCCCAGCACTTTAGGAGGCCAAGGCAGGTGGATTACCTGAGGTCAGCCTGACCAACATGGTAAAACCCCATCTCTACCAAAAACACAAAATTAGCTGGGCATGGTGGTGCACGCCTGTAATCCCAGCTACTCAGGAAGCTGAGGCAGGAGAATCGCTTGAACCTGGGAGGCAGAGGTTACAGTGAGCTGAAACTATGCCACTGCACTGTAGCCTGGGCAACAAGAGCAAAACTCTGTCACACACACACACACACACACACACACACACACACACACAAAGTAAACAGCTGGAGCCAACCAATGAGGACAGGTAAGATAAATTCCAGGTTACTAAACTGGCCACCTGCATACCCAAACTTTCAGGTAGCCTTTGAAGGTGACCTTGTATTATGTACGATGCTGGAGTCCTATCTAGTAAATTATTTCCTGTATGCACTAAGTGGATGCAAATTATTTATTGTGTATCTCACCTATAGATTTACTCTTTTAAGACCTTGAGAATCTTTCTTGTTTTTTAGAAATTTCATTTGACTTTTAATGTTCTCAAGGGCTCAGCCTCAAATGATTATACCTCATGCTGAGGAACCAAAAAAATTAAGTCCCAAACACTGAGTAATTATTTTTCCAATATGTACGTCTAGCAGCCTTTTTAGTAAGTGCGCTAAGAAAAAAAATTTCTCCTCTAAAGTTCTCAAAAATAACACCCAAAGCATAGATTCAACTTAGCCAGCCAGAAGTACCTATTCATCTGGGCCCTTTGAGGTAAGTTGAAACAGATTTAGTATTTCTCTTGGTTTCTAAAAGCCTTTGTCTTCAATTAAAAATAAAAACTAAAGCTAGATGAGTAGTATTTTGACATCCGACCAATTCTTATTTCTGGTATAACTATACAGACTAAAACACCACTCACGGCAAATCTTGCACATTTTTATGTGAATGTTTATTTATACTCGTCTTGGCTCCACACCGTGATATCTTGTTCCACACTAAGTATCTGTATGTGTTGATTTCCCCCTCGCTGTGTGTAAGTTCACTCCAAGTGTCTGGCAGATAATTTTTTTTTTTTTTTTTTTTTTTTTTTTTTTTTTTTTTTGAGCCAGAGTCTCACTCTGTCGCCCAGGCTGGAGTGCAATGGTGCAATCTCGGCTGACTGCAACCTCCACCTCCCAGTTCAAGTGATTCTCCTGCCTCAGTCTCCCGAGTAGCTGGGACTACAGGGGCATGCCACCATGCCCAGCTGGTGGCCAGGCTGGTCTCGAACTCCTGACCTCAAGTGATCCACCTGCCTCAACCTCCCAAAGTGCTGGGATTACAGGTGTGAACCACCATGCCCAGCCCTGGCAGCGAATCTTGATGGAGGCTCCCAGAAGAGACCAGGGTTGGCCAGGCTGGTCTCGAACTCCTGACCGCAAGTGATCCACCTGCCTCAACCTACCAAAGTGCTGGGATTACAGGTGTGAGCCACCGTGCCCAGCCCTGGCAGAGAATCTTGATGGAGGCTCCCAGAAGAGACCAGGGACACCCACTCACCACCATCTCCCTAAGAGTGCTGAATGGGCTCCCCAGACTCAGGAGATCCCAGACGCTTTGGCCTCTGTCTAAAAGAAGACTCTCCAGAAACAATGAGATGTCGTGGATGAAACATAGAGTTTGAAGACCAATAGCCTGGATCCAAATATTAACGATGCCGTTTCCTGCTGTGTGATCCCGTGCAAATCACTGAAATCCTCTGAGCTCCAATTTCTTCACCTATCACAGCAGGTAGCAGTGAGGAGACAAAGGAGAGGAAAACACTTTGAAAACTGCAAATCTGCAAATCATTGCTAATTGTTGAGATGGTTGGTGGGTGGACTACGGCTTGGGAACTAGGACCAACATTTCACCTTCTACTTTCTGAGGCTTTCTGGGATTTGAGGCAAGAATGAGTCAGGGAATGAGGGGCGGGAGACCGCCACAGGACAGTTTCCATAAGGTGGTCCCATGGCCCAGTTGATGAGGTTGGTTATCCGGTATGAAAGCAATGTGGGACTAGCTCAAAGCCTGGTTGAAGCCAAATATTGTCATCATCTCCGAATACCTATTTTTAAATTCTTCTTATGTGCTGTTGGATGCAGAGAACTTCAACTTCCTGCTTGGTTACCTTCTAAAATAATGGTCGAAAACTCCATGGCTTCTCAGCCGGGCGTGGTGGCTCACACCTGTAATCTCAGCACTTTGGGAGGCTGAGGTGGGCGGATCACGAGGTCAGGAGATCGAGACCATCCTGGCTAACATGGTGAAACCCTGTCTCTACTAAAAATACAAAAAAATTAGCCGGGTGTGGTGGCGGGCGCCTGTAGTCCCAGCTACCCGGGAGGCTGAGGCAGGAGAATGGCGCGAACCTGGGAGGTGGAGCTTGCAGTGAGCCGAGATGGCGCCACTGCACTCCAGCCTGGGCGACAGAGGGAGACTGTCTCAAAAAAAAAAAAAAAAAAAAAGAAAAGAAAAAGAAAACTCCATGGCTTCTCACACCTATTTAAGTTAACATCTCAAATGTTCCTTCATAAGTTTACACAGAAAGGATATAACTTCTGGTAATTGCAAATATTGAACATTTAAAAGGAAAACTTTTAAAAAATAATTTCAATTTTTATTTTAGGCTTAGGGGGTACATGTCAGGTTTGTTATATGGGTATATTTGTGTGACACTGAGGTTTGGGACACAAGTGATCCTGTCATCCAGGTAGTAAGCACAGTACTCAATAGTTTTTCAAGCCTAATCCCTCTCCCTCTCCCTGACCCAGGAGCCCCCAGTGTCTACTATTACCATCCTTATGTCCATGAGACATAAAGATGAAAGCAAAGACAAAGACAAAGATAAGCTGGGCATGGTGGCTCACGCCTGTAATCCCAGCTACTTTGGGAGGCTGAGGTAGGTGGGTCATTTGAGGTCAGGAGTTTGAGACCAGCCTGACCAACATGGTGAAAACCTGCTTCTACTAAAAAAACAAAACTTAGCCAGGCGTGGTGATGTGCGCCTGTAGTCGCAGCTACTCGAGAGGCTGAGGCAGGAGAATCGCCTGAACCCAGGAGGTGGAGGTTGCAGTGAGCTGTGATCACACCACTGCATTCCAGCCAGGGGGGACAGAGTGAGACTTTGTCTCAAAAAATAAAATAAAATAAAAATAAAAAAGACACAACAATAAAGACATAAAGACAAAGATCTCCACCCACGTTGCTGCAAAGGACATGATTTCATTCTTTTTCCTGGCTGCGTAGTATTCCCTGGTGCATATGTACCACATTTTCTTTATCCAGTACAGCATTGATGGGTACTTAGGTTGATTCCATGTCTTTGCTATTGTCAATATTGCTTGTGATGAACATATGATTGCAGGTAACTTTTTGGTGGAATGATTTATTTTCCTTTGGATATACACCCAGTAATGGGATTGTTGGGTTGAATAGTAGTTCTATTTTAAGTTATTTGAGAACTCTCCAAACTGCTTTCCACCACAGCTGAACTAATTTACATCCTCATCAACAGTAAATAAGCATTCCCTTTTCTCTGAAGCCTCACTAGCATCTGTTGTTTTTTTGACTTTTTAATAATAGCCATTCTGACTGGTGTGAGATGGTATCTCATTGTAGTTTTGATTTGCATTTCTCTGATGATTAGTGATGTTGACCATTTTTTCATATGTTTGTTGGCCATTTGTACAGCTTCTTTTGAGAAGTGTCTGCCCATGTCTTTTGCCCGATTCTAATAAGGTTATTGTTTCTTGCTTGTTGAATTGTTTAAGTTCCTTATAGATTCCGGATATTAGGCCTTTGTCAGATGCATAGTTTGTGAATATCCTCCCATTCCGTAGGTTGTCTGTTTATTATGTTAATAGTTTATTTGGCTTTGCAGAAGCCCTTTAATTGGATCCCATTTGTCAATTTTTGGTCTTGTTGCAATTGCTTTTGAGGACTTTGTCATAAATTCTTTCCTAAGACCAATGTCCAGAATGGTGTTTCCTAGGTTTTCTTCTAGGACTTTTCATTTAAGGTCTTACGTTTAAATCCTTAATCCATCTTGAGTTAATTTTTCTACATGAAGGGTAAGGATCCAGTTTCATTCTTCTGCATGTGGACAGCCAGCTATCCCAGCACCATTTATTGAATAGGGAGTCCTTTCCCCATTGCTTATTTTTGTTGACTTTGTTGAAGATCAGATGGCTGCAGGTGTGTGGCCTTATTTCTGGGTTCTCTATTCGGTTCCATTGGTCTATGTGTTTGTTTTTGTACCAGTACTATGCAGCTTTATATTATAGTTTGAAGTCTAATAATGTGATGTCTCTGTTTTGGTTCCATATAAATTTTAGAGTAGCTTTTTTTTCTAATTTTGTGAAAAAAATGACATTGGCAGTTTAATAGAAATAGTGTTGAATCTGTAGATTGCTTTGGGCAGTATGGCCATTTAACATATCGAGTCTTCCAATTCATGAGCATTGGAAGTTTTTCCATTTGTTTGTGTCATCTATGATTTAAAAGGAAAGCTCTTACATGACTTCTAACAATGTTTCCCATGGAATCTAAATGCCATAGCAATTTCATATCAAACATAATTCAATTTAAACATACACGAACAAGCTCATCTTTAACAGGCAAAAAATTACTCCATTTACTGCTTAAACTTGTATTTCCATTCTACTTTCCCTACATTATATTATGTTAATGTGATATATTCAATGCCTGAAATTCTTTTATTGACCACTCATAATTATCTACGACAAAAGCATGCATATAAATTGAAATTAATTTTTAAAATTTTCTGTGACCATATGGCTCCAGGTATCAAAGAAATCTCTCTGGACTGAATTACCATTATAGGTAGTGTTAATATGCAATTTATCAAAATAACAAATATATTTTTAAGAAATTATTGGCTGGGCGCGGTGGCTCATGCCTGTAATCGCAGCACTTTGTGAGGTCAAGGCAGGCGGATCACAAGGGCACCATCCTGGCTAACAAAGTGAAACCCTGTCTCTACTAAAAATACAAAAAATAAGGCCACGCACCTGTAGACCCAGCTACTCAAGAGGCTGAGGCAGGAGAATCGCTTGAACCTGGGAGACAGGGGTTGCAGTCAGCCAAGATTGCACCACCGTACTCCAGCCTGGGCAACAGAGCAAGACTCTGCCTCAAAACAAACAAACAAACAAAATATATATACATAACATAAAAATTAGAATTTTATTGGGGAAACTATTCTTCATTCCACTTCTTACTAAAATAGGCAGGGTCCTCATCAACATTTTTCTCATTTTACAATTATTGTTGCTACTGCTACCGTAAGCACTATAAAACTTTTTTCATGTAAAGAAGTATATAAGCGGCCAGGAGCAGCAGCTCACGCCTGTAATCCCAGCACTTTGGGAGGCCGAGATGGGGGGATCATGAGGTCAAGAGTTCAAGACCAGCCAGGCCAAGTTGGTGAAACCCCATCTCTAGGAAAAATACAAAAATTAGCCGGGTGCGGTGGCATGCACCTGAAATCCCAGCTACTCAGGAAGGCTGAGGCAGGAGAAGCACTTGAACCCCAGGAGGCAGAGGTTGCAGTAAGCTGAGATCGTGCCACTGGACTCCAGCCTGGGTGACAGAGTGAGACTCCATCTCCAAAACAAAACAAAACAAAAAAAGAAGTACATAAGCTGGGCATGGTTGCTCATTCCTGTAATCCCAGCACCTTGGGAGGCCAAGGCAGGAGGATTGCTTCAGCCCAGGAGTTAGAGACCAGCTTGGGCAACATAGTGAGACCTCATCTCTACAACAAATAAAAACATTAGCTGGGCATGATGACTCACACCTGTAGTCCCAGTTGCTAGGGAGGCTGAGTTGGGAGCATCCCTTGAGCCCAGGAGTATGAGGCTGCAGTGAGCCGTGATCGCGTCACTTCATTCCAGCCTGGGCAACAGAGCAAGACCCTGTCTCAAAAAAAGAAAAAAAAAAAGGCCAGGTGCGGTGGCTCATGCCTGTAATCCCAGCACTTTGGGAGGCCGAGGTGGATCACCTGATGTCAGGAGTTCAAGACCAGCCTGGCCAATGTGGTGAAACCCCATCTCTACTAAAAATACAAAAAAAAATTAGCCAGGTGTGGTGGGGCATGCCTGTAATCCCAGCTACTCAGGAGGCTGAGGCAGGAGAATTGCTTGAACCTGGGAGGCGGAGGTTGCAGTAAGCTGAGACCGGGCCATTGCACTCCCGCCTGGGCAACAAGAGCGAAACTCCGTCTCAAAAAAAAAAAAAAAGAAGAAGAAGAAGAAGTAGACAAGAATGGAAGCAATTTTATCAAGCAGTATCAATTATTACTCAAGCTCCTTCAGATACAGTGATCTATCATCGAAAATATTTAATGATCTAATTCTCTGACAACTCAATTAGGTCTCCTCTCAAATTTCATGAAAGCAAAGAATTAGAAATCATCTGATCTGCAAAAAGATTTATTACTTAGTCAATAGAATCATTCACTTTCTAAAAAAAAAAAAAAAGAAGAAGCCAATCCAGCAATTTGTCTGGCAACCCAGATATCTGTTCACCCTGGGGCAATGCACCCTAGTAAGATGAGAGAGGGTGAGGGATGTTTTGCATTTATGAAGCAGCTGTTACGAAAGAGGAGACAGAACAGAGAGACTCCATTTAGCGGCAATGGCTCATCGCCATTCAGTTCTCACCAGAACAATTATAGGAAAGAACGCATGGAAATTGTGGACCCAGAATTTAAAAAGAACAAAAACCATGTACCTGTGTAGCCTTAGAAAGTCCTCTTGTGACCCTGAAGATGGGCATACCCAAATTTGAAGCCCATGGGTTTGAAAAGTCCCCATTAAACTGGTAGGTGAGTCTCCATGGAGCTGGTGACAGACCGGCAGCTGGAGCTTCCTTGACATCTCCGGGTGGCTCTCTCCAGCCTGGGCTTTGTGGATCACAGTGCCCTTTGAAATGTTAGGGATCCCCAGGAAAAAGGGATTCTCAGGACAAAAAGTTTGGGGAAAGCTTTCTATTCTTTCTGCCTCTTACAGATTCACAATAAAATCTGCATAGCAAAGACTAAAGAAACCTGCTTAATTTTGTGTAATGCAAAATTTCCCAAACTAACCTGGCTCTCCCCTCCCGCCTCCTTCTTTCACACAGAATGCCTGGGTACATATAAAGAGACTTCAGTAATCTGCTCCGGAGCCCAGTGTGGTCCTGGCAACTGCAAGCTGGATCTCCATCCGTGCCCTCCCTATGAGACCTGGGTGATTCCTGTTAGCCATGGGCCTCTCTAAAGCTCTCCAGAGGGACTAAGGCCTGAGATCGGTTTGTTTTCTTGTGTGAACCAAAAAGCATCTGAGACAGGTCTCAATCAACTTAGAAGTTTATTTTGCCAAGGTTAGGGACGCGCCGGAAGAAATAAACATGGAGTCCCAGAAACAGTCTGTGGTCTCTGCCTTTCTCCAAAGACGATTTTGAGGGCTTAAAGGGGGAAAGCAGGCTGGAGGGAAAGGAGGAAGGATATGGTCACATGACTGAATCCACACGTTGCAAGAGAAAAGGAGCAAGTAGGGGAATAGTCAATTATGTATGCACCTCACGCGCAATGTAAGGTGAATTGAGTAACTATCTGCGGGGATGTTTTGTATTTTATCCATAGCTATCTTAGGAACAAAAGAAAAGGTAGCTTCTTGCATGACTCTGCTTTAAGCTTAATTTTTTTTCTTTTGGCAGAGTGAATTGAGGTCCCAATTATTTTTTTTTAGACGGAGTCTCGCTCTGTTGCCAGACTGGAGTGCAGTGGCGCGATCTCAGCTCACTGCAGCCTCTGCCTCCCAGGTTCAAGCAATTCTCCTGCCTCAGCCTCCCTAGTAGCAGGGACTACAGGTGCGCACCACCACACCTGGCTAATTTTTTTGTATTTTTACTAGAGACGGGGTTTCACCATGTTGGCCAGGACAGTCTTGATTTCCTGACCTTGTGATCTGCCCACCTCGGCCTCCCAAAGTGCTGGGATTACAGGTGTGAGCCACTGCACCTGGCCAGGGTCCCAAGTTTTTATTCTCCTTTTACACTTGCACTTTACGGATTCTGTTACCTATTCAGAAAATGCTACTTTCCTATTGATGCCATTCACTTTTAGATGGAGACTCTCATATAATTGGGAGGTTTCTATGATATTCACTTTGGGCAACACCCACTGCAGACAGGAACTTGAAGGTGTTTCCTAAGTGTTACCTCCACAAGCAGATGAGTCAACTTGGCAGGTCGCTAGCTGTCCCTGTGGGTCCCCTGGTCATCAATAGTATGGTGCCAGCTGAGAAGGGATTAAAATTAGATGTAAAGTAAAAAATCCAAATATTTAAGAGTAAGGAGTGTGTGTAAGAGAGAGGGAGATTGTGTCTGAAAACATATGCCTGTCTTTCATCATACCTAGAGCCACGTGGTCTTTTTTTTAATCATCTGGCTTATATTTTCCATTTTTCATTGCACAACACCAAGAGTTGGCTACATAGTCATGATGAAGATGAGCATACAAATTCCAAGTGTCACAACTGGAGAGGGAGGCCTCCTAAGTTGTTCATGGGAATGAGGATCAGATCACCTGACTCGATACAGGCTTTGGGACATCTTAGGCATCTAATCTCTCTAATCCACTGAAGAGACACAATAACGAGCCCCAGCTATCCCTTCCCTTTTCATCAAGAAGACTGCACATTAGAGATTAGTCAATATTCTATGCACAAATCATAAATATTTGGTGAATAAGGAGATCAGTTAGATTCTCCATCCTTGATTGCAGCTCAAAATTCAAACAAATCAATCAGTACCTGCTGGGGGGAAAAAGCCTGTAGAGCACTTTTTTTTCTTGAAATACAAGAATCATGAAGGGAATAAATATTAACTTTATTCCCTTATTCAGAACAAGTGAATTGGATGGCGCCAATGGCAAACAACATGGATTCCTGGCTCTGCTTCAGCCAAAATGCATTTTGCTCTTTGGAACCCTCAGTTCCAACCTGTGACGCTGGAAAAGTACTAATGAATTTGTATGAGGCTCCACAAACCAAGGAGGGCAAAGCAGAGAATAGCTGGAATAAATGAGATGAAGAGCGAAAAGTAACTTTTTATTTCAAAACAACTAGAGATTTCTTGGAGAATTATATTTTTTTAAACGCCCTTTTATGGGAAAACAAAGGCAGCAGAAATCAAATGGCTTACTTACGTTTAAAGGGGAGTTTGGCAGCTGAAATGTGATGGAAATAGACTCTTCGCTCTCCAGGTCACAGAGAAGGCTGCCCAGAAGAGCCCTGGGAGAGACAACACCATCGACACCTCAGACCACCCTTTCTGGAGGGCGGGTGTGTTAAGTTCTTATTAAAAATTTATCCAGGTGTGGAGAACAGCTGTAGCTGATTTCTTCAGCATGCCTCTGCCAATTTCCCAAGAAAAAGAAACAATATTTTTCTCTCCACTGCTCTTCCAAGAAGTAGCTGAGGACGGGAAGAAACACAGAATCAAAGTGTTGCTCAAGGGTGCTTTCTGATCCAAACCCACAATGTGACATAAATCTGTCATTTTGATTCCGCTGGGGTGTACATCTGAAAACCCAAAAAGTGAAAAAATGAAATTAGCCCAGGTATTAACCTGGGTGTGGGGCTGAGGCTGTGAGCCCAGGTATTAACCTGGGTGTGAGGGCTGGGGAAGGGGAACACAGCATTCTTTGCTGTGGCCGTGGGTGTGGAATTGGGGGCAGGGCTGGTCCATTTGCAGCCTGTGTGTGTGTCTGTGCTGATGGAAGCCTCATTTACACACAGCACAAGGAAGGCAGGCTTTCTCCTTGGTAATTGGTGAATCTGTCAGACTGCAGGGAATTAAACAGCAGGAGGCAGGTGTCGACCTTTAAATACCTAAATAAGCCATATCAATCCAAGGGCTGAGGCCATGGGCCAGGGCTGGGCCTAGGCTTAGAGAAAACTGGTAATAGTCATCACTGGATTATTTATTCTTTTTTTTTTTTTTTTTTTTTTGAGACGGAGTCTCGCCCTATAACCCAGGCTGGAATACAGTGGCACGATCTCAGCTCACTGCAACCTCCGCCTCCTGGGTTCAAGCAATCCTCCTGCCTCAGCCTCCTGAGTAGCTAGGATTAGAGGAACACGCCACCATGCCCAGCTAATTTTTGTATTTTTAGTAGAGACGGGGTTTCACCATGTTGGCCAGGCTGGTCTTGAACTCCTGACTTTGTGATCCACCCGCCTCAGCCTCCCAAAGTGCTTAGATTACAGGCGTGAACCACCGCGCCCAGCCTGTATTTATTCTTTATCATTACGTTTTAGTTTGTTTTTTATTTTAATACAGATGAGGTCTCACTGTAACCCAGGCTGGAGTGCAGTGGTGAGATCACAGCTCATTGCAGCCTCAACCTCCTGGGCTCAAGTGATCCTCCCACCCCAGCCTCCTGAGTAGCTGAGACTACAGGTGCACTCCACCACACCCGGCTAATTTAAAAAAATTTTTTTTGTAGAGACCAGGTCTCACTATGTTGCCCAGGCTGGCCTCAAACTCCTGGTCTCAAGCCATCCTTCCACCTTAGCCACTCAAAGTGTTGGGATCATAGGTGTGAGCTCTGTGTCTAAATATCATCAGCAGATTAGACAAAGCTCTAATCCTTTGGGATTCCTTTGAGTTATTATTCAGATTCTGCCCCCAAAGGAGCCTCAAGTATTTCCAACCGACTTACTCTATTCTATCTTATTTATTTTGGTCACAGCCTGCAAATTAGTGGGGAGGAAGAGGGATTACTTCTCACCCAGCAAGGCCACTCCAGCGCTGGTTCAGCATAAGCTAACACCCACGACCCTAGGCCCTGCAGGGGTGGTCAGAAAAGCAATGAGGTATGGCAGGAAGATTGAGGCTTTGGTGGCAGGTGGGTCATTCGTGTGCAAATCCCAGCTTAGATTTTGGGCTTCAACTGTCAGCTTCAATTGTTTCATTTCTAAAGTGTCATTCACCTTAAAGTCACCGTGCACACTGAAGATTATCACGTCAAGTGCAGGGCACCTAGCAGGTATGATGGCAGCTGTCACTACTATTACTATTGTAACAGAAGAGTATAATTACTCTTCTTTCAAAATCAGAGTCACACTGTCCCCGGGTGGGACACTGGTATATTAAGGACAGACTTCAGATGTTACCAAGGCTGGGGAATATCTAAAGTCTGGGCAAGGCTGGGGTAGAAGGAGGGGCAGACTGCTAGAGCGTGGGGCAGGAGGACTGGGGGTGGTATGCCTGAGACAGGTGAGAATCAGCGTCCCAGACCCAGGAGTGAAGGGAAGGGGCATGGAGGGTGGTGGGAGCATTGTGATAAAGGCAACAGATTGGGGGAACAGTTCTGAACCAGAAAGGGAGCTGACTTCCGGACTGAGCACTTCCGCTTGGACAGGACAATGCAGAAATGGCCTGGAGCTCATGACTATGCTATGGCACTAGGGATGACAGAGGACTCCTCTCCTGGGTTCCTTCTGCAGAAGTTGTGTATGCAGCTGCTCATCTAAGCATGAAGATAGGAGGGCCCCTTTTATGGGACTTCAGGAGAAGCCTAGAAGGTGCAAATTACTAGGGCAGTATAATCTCCAAATTTTGGCTGGGCATGGCGGCACACACCTGTGATCCCAGCGCTTTGAGAGGCTGAGAAGCAGGGATTGCTTAAAGCCAGCAGTCTAGACCAGCCTGGGCAACATAGTGAGACTCAGTCTCTACAAAAAATTTAAAATTTAGCCAGGTATGGTGGCACGTGCCTATAGTCCCAGCTACTCAGAGGCTGAGGCGGGAAGATCGCTCAAGCCCAGGAGTTTGAGGCTACAGTGAGTTATGCTTGCACCACTGTACTCCAGCTTGGGCAACAGAGCGAGACCCTATCTCAAAATTTAAAAACATCTCCAAGCTTTCTTGATTGCTTACCTGATTTGATCAGGTACGTTGTTTTATTCTATTCCATTTTATTAATTATTACATACATATGTTCAGTTATAACTTATTCATATGTATGGACGATATATTAAGTGCAGCTTAGATTAGAAAGCAAACACAAGGAGATCTGCTGTACAATGCTGCACCTATCGCTAACGATACTGTCTTGTGCCCATAAAATTTTGTTGAGGGTTGATCTCATGTTAACAGTTCTACCAATTAAAAAACCCACAGGCATCCTGGGCATGGTGGCTCATGTCTATAATCCCAGCACTTTGGGAGGCTGAGGCAGGCGGATCACTTGAAGCCAGGAGTTCGAGACCAGCCTGGCCAGCATGGTGAAACCCTGTCTCTACTAAAAATACAAAAATTCGCCAGATGTGGTGGTGCATGCCTATAATCCCAGCTCATGACCTGAGGCTGAGGCAGAAGAATCACTTGAACCCAGGAAGCAGAGGTTGCAGTGAGCTGTGATTGCACCACTGCACTCCAGCCTGGGCAGTAGATTGAGACTCTGTCACACACACACACACACACACACACACACACACACACACACACACACATACACACACACACCTAGAAGTTCCAATGTTTTTTTTCTTGCCTTCCAATGGATCTTCTTACACATCCAGTTTTGGATACTTCTGGTCCCAAAAAGCAAGAGGTGGGGTCAGGAAAAAGGATTTTTCCTCTCCAACCTCAGAGGAATAAGAAAAGTCATTTTTCCTTCCTCTAATGCAAACAACTAAAAAGACTGAAGGTAGAATAATCTTTTTTGTTTTTGTTCTTGTAGGCAGGAAGGTTAAAATTAGGAAGATGAAAATATGTGACAACCACTGACTTACGTAATAAAAGTACAAAGGGGTTGGGCTCAGTGGCTCATGCCTGTAATCCTAACACTTTGGAAGGCTGAGGTGGGAAGATCATTTGAGACCAGGAGTTCAAGACCAGCCTGGGCAACATAGTGAGACCCCATCTCCATGAAAAAATTTAAAATTTAGCCAAGTGTGGTGGCATGCACCTATAGTCCCAGCTACTCAGGAGGATTGCTTGAGCCCAGGAGATTGAGGCTGCAGTGAGCTAGATCACACCACTGCACTCCAACCTGGGCAACAGAGTGAGACTCCATCTCTAAAATAATAAAATAAAATAAAATGTACAAAGAACTCAAATTCAAGCTTCTTATGAAAACCAGAGGTGATACAAAAGACAACCAGTTCTTCAAGTGAGGAATGTTGATGAACCTTGGAGGGCACATTTGTTTCATTTGTCACTTAAAACCTGAGCCTGATGCTCCATTTGTACACTGCTCACCCCAAAATGGACGAGCTGCCTCGTTTGATCCTGATAAGCCATGTGGGCAGGGGTGAAGGTACACAGCCCATAGTGTCATCTGGCACCATGTGGCACAGAGCATCACAAGGCAGTAGTGAGCCATGCACGTTAAGAATGAGGAAACTCTTGTAATCGCAGCACTTTGTCAGGCTGAGGTGGGTGGATCACTTGAGGTCAGGAGTTCAAGACCAGCCTGGCCAACATGGCAAAAGCCCATCTCTACTAAAAAATACAAAAATTAGCTGGCATGGTGGTGCATGCCTGTAATCCCAGCTACTCGGGAGGCTGAGACAGGGGAATTGCTTAAACCCAGGAGGGGCAGGTTGCAGTGAGCCGAGATAGGGCCGCTGCACTCTGGCCTGGGTGACAGAGAGAGAGAGAGAGAGACTCTGTATCAAAAAAAAAAAAAAAAAAAGAGGAAACTTGGCAAGGGGCACACCTCACCTGGTCTGCCTCCTCTCAGCCCAGCTATTGCAAACAATCTGCATTCCCTCCAATCACCTCATCAGGCCACTCCGGGCTGCCTTTGTACTTGAGCTGCCTCTGCCTGAACTGGTTTTGCTCCTCCTCTGCAATCCCCTCAGCTACTCATCCTATCCTACTCATCTTCCCAACTCAGCTTAAGCTTTTCAAAGTGGATTGCTTCCATTTTTTTTGTCCCCCACTCAGTAGCAATTCCAAAAACTCGCTGTTTGTTTGCATTTCTGTCTCCCTCTGCTTGGCTACGAGCTCCATGATGGCAGGAATTGCATCTCGATGATCTTTGGGTACCCCCTGGCCTAACAGACTCAGTCATAGGTGTCAAAAGAAAAAGAAAGTTCAGGACCTTTCAAACTCATTATGCCGAGGGGAAAAGTTAAGCCCTGGAACCCGAGTCAGGTAACATGGCTCTCTCCTCTCCCCTCCTCTCTGCTCCTCTCTTTTTTGAGCCAGAATTTCCCTCTTGTTGCCCAGGCTGGAGGGCAGTGGTGTGATCTCTGCTCATTGCAACCTCTGCCTCCTGGTTCAAATGATTCTCTTGCTTCGGCCTCCCAAGTAGCTGGGATTACAGGTAACCCTCACTACGCGTGGCTAATTTTTGTATTTTTAGTAGAGATGCGGTTTCACCATGTTGGCCAGGCTGGTCTCAACCTCCTGACCTCAGGTGATTGACCCGCCTTGGCCTCCTAAAGTGCTGGGATTACAGGCGTGAGCCACTGCACCCAGCCAAGGAGTTATTATTTCTTATGATTCTGAGGGTGCACTGACCTCAGATCAACAGCTCTGCCCCATGTGGTGTGGATTGTGGTTATGCAGGCAGCTGCAAACAAGTGGAGTTCAGCTGGGGCCCAAACATCATGAAGACTTACTTAATGCCAAGCAGGTGGTGCTGGCCTTTGGCCTCTGGGTTCTCTCCATCAAGGCCTCTCTTCCTCCACAGGGTACAGGGACTTCCTCTCTGCAAGGCAACAGGATTTCAAGAGAGTGGAAGCTGCCTACGCCCAGAACTGGCACAGCACCATTTCAGCTGCATTCTGTTAGCAAAAGCAAGTCACATTCAAGCCCAGATTCAAGGGTGTGGGGAACAGAATCCACTTCTTTTTTTTTTTTGTAGACAGGGTCTCACTCTGTCACCCAGGCTGGAGTGCAGAGGTATGATCATAGCTCACTGCAGCTTCAGACTCCTGGGCTCAAAGTGATCTCATCTCAGCCTCCTGAGTAGCTGGGACTACAGGCATGCACCACCATACCTGGTTAATTAAAAAAAAAATTGTAGAGACAGGGCTATGTTGCCTAGGCTGGTCTCAAATTGCTGGGCTGAAGCAATCCTCCTGCCTCAGCCTCCCAAAGTGCTGAGATTACAGGCAGAATCCACCTCTTGATGCAAGAGAAACGTGTGTACAGGGAGGTGAGAAATTGTTGGTGGCTAGCTTTAAAGACACTCTTCCAACATGAATAGTTCTTATTACGGTACCTTTATCTTCACTGAAGGATTTAATTCATTCCAAAATGCTTGGCAAATTCCTGGTTACCTGCTTTACTCATAAACAAATTTGACCACATGCTACAGTCTCTCTTTTTCCTAAGCTACTGTGCTTTCTCCTTGCTAGCTGCCTGCCTTTGAGTCTGCAGATCAAGTCCTTTGCCTGCTAAAACAATTGGAGTGGGGAGGTCTTTACAACCCCTTTTGACAGGGAACCTGTTTGGAGTCTCATATGGAGAAAGAAATCCCTATTGTGCAGAAACATGGATACTTCCTATGAAATATTTTCTACAGGAATATCACATAGGACATTAGGGTTTCATCAGTTAATCTGTGTATCAGTTGTGGTAGGGAAATTACTGCAAAAAAATTTCAATGGCTTCACACATTACAGTTTAATTCTAAACTTGTGTAACAGCCCAACGTAGATCCAAGTCAATGCAGGGACTTTGCTCCATGCAGTCATTCAGGGACCCAAGGTGGTCGCAATTCCACCATCTTCAGCCCATGACCTCCAAGGTCAATTTGGGCACTGACATCAGCTAGTGGAGGGCAAAGAGCGTGTGAGTTTACAGATGGGGCCTAGAAATGGCGCACAACCTCTTGCATTTTATTGGCCACAACTTGGACATACGGCCAAATCTAACTCTGTTGGAAACTGAGAAATGTAGTCCAGCTGTGTGCACAGGAAGGAGAGGAAGCAAGTTCGTGATGGACTAGCAGTCTAAGCCCACTCGTCCGGAACCACATACATTACACACATATTGACAGTGTTACTTGTGCCTGTTAGCACACAGATCACACTCAAGCCTGGGAAGAGGAGGGCGAGTGCCTCAAGAAAATTATAGGAGTGTTTAGCAGGAAGATTGAATGCATTTCCCCCAACTTTCCCTGGAAACAGACAGCATCTTTCCAGACTTGGACACAGTGCCATCTGCTGCTCAGAATAAAAAGCAGGGAGGTGGACTGGGTTATGGTTGGGCCTGGGGTCAGAGTAACCAGGTTAGAAGAATCAGAACTTAGTACTCTAGAATTTTCATCGGTTTGGTAACCATAGGAGATTAGAGGAAATTCATGCAGCAGCCACTTCCATTTAACAGACACCAAACAAAAATTGTGAGGAGGAAGGGAGAGGAGTTGTATGGTTGGTTTTAGCTTTCTGTGGAATTAATTAATTAAGGCAGCTGAGTATCATGGAAGGCAAGACTGGAGTCAAAAGACCTGGGTCCTAGGCCCCACTTTGCCATTATCTGGGCTGCAGTTTCCTTAGTTCTAAAATGAGGGGACAGGCCCGGCACAGTAGCTCTTGCATGTAATCCCAGCACTTTGGAGAGCCGAGGCGGGAGGATTGCTTGAGCCCAGGAGTTTGAGACCAGCCTGGGCAACAACAGCAAGACCCCATCTCTATCAAAAATTTTTTTAAATAGCCAGGTGTGGTGGCATTTACCTGTAATCCCAGCTACTCAGGGGGCTGAGGCAGGAGGATTGCTTGAACCCAGGAGTTGAGGTTGAGTGAGCTATGGTGGTACCACTGCACTCCAGCCTGGGTGACAGAGAGAGACCTTGTCTTAAAAAAAACAATAAAAATTTTAAAATAATGAGGGGACAAGAAGACTTTTCATGATTCCTTCCAGCTGGGAGCTCCAACCCAGTTCCATAGTCATATGGGACCATTTTCAAGATGGCAAGTGAAGCCACATAAACACATCGGATCCCTCAGGGACAGTGTTTCTTCTTTTGTTTTCTTAAAAAAAAAAATCTAAATCCATATGTTATAATTTCCACATCAGAATCATCTATTACTTGCTTTTTTTCTTTTCTGTCAATAAGTTTATTGTCTTTATCTGAAAAATCCTCATAGAAAATTGTTTGGTTTGACCGGGCGCGGGGGCTCACACCTGTAATCCCAGCACTTTGGAAGGCCAAGGCAGACAGACCACAAGGTCAGGAGTTCAAGACCAGCCTGGCCAATATAGTGAAACCCCATCTCTACTAAAAATACAAAAAATTAGCTGGGCGTGGTGGTGGGTGCCTGTAAATCCCAGCTACTCAGGAGGCTGAGGTAGGAGAATCACTTGAACCCAGGGAGGCGGAGGTTGCAGTGAGCTGAGATCCCGCCATGGTACTCCAGCCCAGATGACAGTGCGAGACTCTGTCTCAAAAAAAAGTTAAAACCTTCTTTCTTGGGCTTCTTTTCATAGACTGGATTCTCTCATATAGCAGCATGAGCTTTCTTGTGTATCTCCTCCATCATGTCTGGAGTTACATTGTTCTTTATATATTGAAAGAACTGTTTCTTGTAAGCATCTTCATCTTCCTCCATTAAGTAGCACATGTAATCTGCAACATTCTGGCCCCTGATGTGCTTCTGGTGTACTTCTGCAATAAATTCCTTGTTTTCAGAATCATAACCAGGGAATCATTTGGTATTGCGAGGGATAGACAAGCCTCCATCCACAGCTCCCTTCAGGGTGCCAAAAACTTGATTGCCAGCGGTAGTTCTGGCAAGGCCTGCATCCAAATAGCAGGTAAAGGCACCTGGCTGACCATCAATGCTTTCCACATCGTATTCATCGCCAGTCACCTTCACTTGGCCTTCATAGATCTTGTCCATGCCAAACCTACTGAGAATCCTGTGGGTCAGCAGCAGTCCAGGACAATACGCTGCAGCGTAATTTGTCAGGCCAACCTTCACACCGTATTTTGGCAGTTCGTGTGCATATGCTGCGCAGACTATCATATCCCCCTCAATATGGCCTAAGCAATCTGACAAATGATATCTCTGTTCGTTACACAAACTATCATCCTGTATTTGGGTGTGCTGTATTTATTTTTATCCTGCATCACCAAGCGTTTCTGGGCATAGTAATCCGTTTTACCCTCTCGTCGTCTTCTAAACGTCACTTGGTATCTCTTCAAGTTGGCCTTATTTTTAACAACTTTAACAAACCCCACCCTGTGGAACAGAGACCTGCATCTGTGGCTCGACAGAGACCTGCAGGCCTATTACTTGCAGTTAAAGAAAAGTAAATATGTATGAATTTTTAAATTAACAAGCAGGACTTGTTGTTTGGAGGTGGATGATGAGGGAAGAGAGTTTCTAGCTTGGCACAGCTGGGTGGCTGAGGAAGTCCCGCAGCTAATTAATAGCCATTATCATTCATACACTACGGCGCATCCATATGACTCAGGCATATTCTAATTGCTTCACATACACTATCTCAATTTTCATAACAACTCCTGTGGAGAGTACTATTAGTGGCCCATTTTACAGAAAAAAACAAAACACAGGAAATACTGATGGAAGGACAGATGAGAAACAGGGAGGAAGGGAGTGTGGCAGACAAACTGTCCACCAAAGTTTGGTGTTGTGCTCCCTCCCATACCGTAGACTTATTGCTGGCATACGCACACTTCGTAAGGGTGATGCTAAAATTTAGATATGCCCTTCTGCATCCTCTTTTCTGTTCCCTTCTCCTGTCCGGGTGACGCCAAGGCAACCTTGGAAGCCACCTATGGAAGATGGCAGAGTCTTCAGTCTGGACCTTTGAACAACTTTGCGGAGCGGACCTCTCATGCCCCCATTTCACCTCCTGCCTCCTGCCCTAGAACACCTACTTTGGATATGAGATGAGAAGTAAGTTTTTACTGGTTAAGCATTAAAATTTGGGAGTATCTTTGTTACAGCAACAATATTGAGTGAACATCTTGCTACATCTAATTAAAACGGGATGGGAGGTAAAGACAATAAATGAAATATTGGACATGTTGAATTTGAAATCTTGCAGGACAACCAAACGGGAAAGGCCTAGAAGGTAGACAGCGAGAGATGGGGCGGAGATGAACAGAGTCATCGTTAACACCCAAATTCACAGTGTGGACTTGCTCCTGAATAAATCACAGAGAGAAAGGAAAAATTACTGAAGGTTTTTTTTCTGCCATTTCACTTCATGGCTATGTGCTCTAAACTGACCACGAAATGGGAGGTGTGAATCTGCTGTTCCTCCGATGGCCTCATTTCTCTTGTGCATTCTCACATTGTGAACTCTCTGAGTAAAATCCCAACCTTTAAAAAAACATTGTTTTGGCCGGGCGCGGTGGCTCACGCTTGTAATCCCAGCACTTTGGGAGGCCGAGGAGGGCGGATCATGAGGTCAGGAGATGAGACCATCCTGGCCAACATGGTGAAACCCCCTCTCTACTAAAAATACGAAACTTAGCCGGGCGTGATGGCGGGCTGTAATCCCAGCTACTTGGGAGGCTGAGGCAGGAGAATCACTTGAACCAGGGAGTCAGAGGTTGCAGTGAGCCAAGACTGCACCACTGCACTCCAGCCTGACAACAGAGTGAGACTCCATCTCAAAAACAAAAACAAAAAACATTGTTTTTCTACATAATGGCTCCAAATCTGAGCCAGCTGTTTCATCAGAAACAAAACAAAACAAAACAAACAAATCTCATAGTGAGAAAATGCTATTTTTACCTCGGCCTCAGACCTTGGAACTCAACCCCATGGAAGACGTGACCTTGCTGTGCGTGTCTGGGAATTCGTGCTTTCAAGATGGCGTCTGAATTCAGGGAAGGGGATTGGCTCTCTTGGGAAAACTGCACAGAGTAAGAAGAGGAGAGGACCAAAGATGCACCCTCAGGGAGCGCCAGCATTTGGGATGTGGGCTGGAGAGGAGTTGCGTATAAAGGCCAAGGAGCAGAAGTCATCAGAGAGGTGGGAGGGATATCAGGAGTAACAAGAGTCCCCAAGGCCAAAGGAAAACAGAATGCCAAAGAGTATCTTTGTAAACAACAGACAGGGTCTCACTCTGTTGCCCAAGCTGGAGTGCACTGATGCAATCATGCTTCACTGCAGCCTCAAACTCCTGGGCTCAAGCAATCCTCCTGCCTCAGCCTCCCAAGTAGCTGGGACCACAGATGCACATCACCAAACCAGGCTAATTTTTAAATTTTTTGTAGAGACAGGGGTCTTGCTATGTTGCCCAGGCTGGTTTCTAACTCTTGGCCTCAAGCAGTCCTCCCTCTTCGGCCTCCCAAAGTGCTAGGATTACAGGTGTGAGCCACCACACCTAGGGTTCAAATTTTGTTTCTAAAGGCTGAAAAAAAGGGGTTACTGGATTTGACAATAAAAATATCATTTGTGAGTTTTATAATAGCAATCTCAACGGAGGTGTTGATATAAAAATCAGATTTTAATGGAGTGAAAAATTCAAGGAAGAGAGGGCTCTAAGAGGTTTGGTAATAAAGGCATGGCCCAAGATTAGATTGGGAATTAGCAGGATTAAATCCTTGTTCCATAATTTTCCAGCTGTCCAACCACACTTGGATTCAGTTTCTAAATCTGTAAAACAGTTTTAATAATCCCTGTCTCAGAGAGGTTTCTGAGGATGAAATGAGAGGACAGTTGTGATTGTGTTATAAAACCCAAGCAAGTAGGAATGAGTATAAATTATGGATTTTCCAGCCATTCTAAAATCTTCCTGAGGATACAAAGCAGAATCGCAGAGAGCTGGAACACACAGTTCCACCTCCTCACAGAACTGCTGTTACTGCAGTGGGCTTCCGGTGATGATCTACCTAACAGTGTGGGAAGCAGTTCTGTAAAACACTGGTTCATCTGCTGAAAACATATCAGAGATGTTGTTTATTACATGACGCAGCCTCATCTCAAAGGTGATGGCTGGGAGCATCCCCTCTGGTCTTGTGTGGACGAAAACAGTCAAACTCTGTAGAATATCTGAAGATATTTATTCTGAGCCAAATATGAATGACCATGGCCCGTGACACAGCCTTCAGGAGGTGCTGAGAACATATGCCCAGGATGGTCAGGGTGCAGCTCGGTTTTATACATTCTAGGGAGGCATGAGACATCAATCAAATACATTTGAGAAATACACTGGTTTGGTGGAGAAAGGTGGGACAATTCAAAAGGAATGGGGATGGGGGCTTTCAGGCTACAGATAAACTTAAACATTTTCTGGCTGCCAATTGGTTGAGTTTGTCTAAAGACCTGGGATCAATAGAAAGGAAATATTCAGGTTCAGATAAAAGATTGTGGAGACTGAGGTTCTTTTGAAGTCTCATAGTGGCTGCCCTTAGAGACAACAGATGACAACTGTTTCCTATTCAGACCTTTAGAAGGTGCTGGACTCTCAGTTAATCTCCTCAGGATTGGGAGGGCCTGGAAGAAAAAGATCTAGCTATGTTAACAGAGATTCTTTAGAGATGTAAATTTCCCCCCCACCACCCAGAAAGGACAGTTTTACAGGGCCATTTCAAAATACGCAAAGAACCATGTTTTGGGGTAAAATATTTTGATTTTCTTCTTTGCCACATAATGTTATGCCAGATTCAGAAAGGAAAGTAAGTAGCAATATGTAGGGTTAAATAAAACCCATCTGACGAGAATTTATGGCTTGTAGGGCATGACTCCCCAGACCCCTTAGATAAGAATTGGTGCAAGATAAGAAAAAAATCAGAGCTTAGTCCTCAGTCTGAATATAAGGAATAATTGTGCTTCTCCTGAACAATTGGCCTGCTTTTATCTTGTGACTGACTAACCGAGTTTCCCTTTTGCAATGGTTGCTAGAAAGCTTAGAGTCAACCATGTGGTCCACCCATTGTATGTACATAAGATGCCATGGGATGCTTTTTTTGTACTGGATTCTTCTCCAGTCCTCCTTAATGTTCCTACTTCTACTATTCTCATATTTTAAACCTGTGCCACACTATTTTATATATGCATTCTTACAAACAGTCTTAAATGTTTTCTGTTATAAGGGATGATATTGAAACCCCCTTTGGAAAATTATGACAGACAGTGAAAGCTTATCTAAAGAGATAAGCAAGACTCTGTCTTGTTCTAACCTCCAAGCTATCCTTGTTCGTTCCTGGGGGTAGGCTGAACTAACTTTGGGAGAAACTTAGTTTATGGTTTAAGTAAAGATGGTAACAGCCCTTTCCCAAGCAGACCTCCTTTTTGCTTGGGGACTAGATTGCCTTCGTAGGACTAACATTAGCCACAAGATTAGAAATTACGGTTTAGGAGTCATGCAGCTGGAGGCTACAAGATTCTGACCCTCCCTAAACTGCTCCTAAGATCAGTGCATGAGATATTTTGCATGCCCTGCACTTGATGGATCATCTGACACTACCCAGATCAATAAACTTGCTCATCTGCTCTTATGGCCCCCACCCAGTAACTGACTCAGTGCAAGAAGACAGCTGACTCACGGCCATTTCATCTCTGACCAATCAGCACCCTTGGCTCACTGGCTTACCGATTTCATCTCTGACCAATCAGCACTCCTGGCTCACTGGCTTACCAATTTCATCTCTGACCAATCAGCACTCCTGGCTCACTGGCTTACCCCCACCCACCAAGTTATTTTTAAAAACTTTGCTCCCCGAATGTTCGGGGAGACTGATTTGAGTAATAACAAAACCCTGGTCTCCCACACAGCCGGCTCTGTGTGAATTACTCTTTCTCTATTGCAGTTCCCCTGTCTTGATTTATCAGCTCTGTCTAGGCAGTGGGCAAGTTGAACCCCTTGGGTGGTTACAATATAAATAATTGTTCTAGGCATGGTGTCCTGCTAATTTTCCATCCTCTATTTGATTTTTATGTATGTATCAATACATCTCCAGTCTTCCTATACACTCCATGAAACTGAAACTGTCATGCCCTTGGGTACCTTCCTTAACATCAGAGCTCATGACAACAGCTAACACAACCTTCTCTAGGGGCAGATAGGAATGCTTTATGTGTGTAGATGTTTATGGATTCATTGAATCACAACAATCTTTTTATGTCTACTTCACAGATAAGAAAACTAAGGCACATCAAGGTTCAGTACCTTCAAAGCCACGTAAATAGTAAGGAATGGATCTAAGATTAAAAACCCAGTCGCCTAGCGCCAGAGTCTGTTCCACCAGATGTACCACCTCTCTACAAACTCATGGAAACTCTGGGATACAAATGCTTCAGTATTTTGGCTTGCATGCTTTGTAAGATATTAACAAGAAGGGCTGGGAAGCCTTCCTTGTTAATATAATATCTTGCAAGTTCTGGGATGAGGTAGAATTGTATGTTCTAGCTCTCTGCGATCCTGCTTTTTATCCCGAGGAAGATTTTAGAATGGCTGGAAAACTCATAACTTACACTCATTCTTAGTGTGAGTCGTTTTTTTTTGTTGTTGTTGATGTTGTTGTTTTTTGAGACATTGTCTCGCTCTGTCGTCACGCTGGAGTGCAATGGTGCCATCTCGGCTCACTGCAACCTCCGCCTCCCTGATTCAAGTGATTCTCCTGCCTCAGCCTCCCAAGTAGCTGGGACTACAGGTGCACACCACCATGCCCAGATAATTTTTGTATTTTTAGTAGACAGGGTTTCACCATGTTGGCCAGGTTGGTCTCGATCTCCTGACCTCGTGATCCACCTGCCTCAGCCTCCGAAAGTGCAGGGATTACAGGCGTGAGCCACTGTGCCCGGCCAGCATGGGTTTTAAAAGTCAATCACAACTGTCCTCTCAGTTCATCCTCAAACACCTCTCTGAGTCAGGGGCTATTAAACCTGTTTTACAGATTAAGACATGAAATGTAACAGTAGCTGGACAGCTAGAAATTGGTCTTCACGAAATAAATTACATAAAATTTCTTTCATGTGTGAACCCTGAAAATCTGAGCCAGGTCTCAGTTAATTTAGAAAGTTTGTTTTGCCAAGCTTGAGGACATGTGCCTGTGACACAGCCTCAGGAGATCCTCACGACATGTGCCCAAGGTGGTCAGGGCACAGCTTACTTTTATACATTCTAGGGAGCCATGAGATAGCAATCAATACATGTAAGATGTACACTGGTCCTGGCTAACATGATGAAACCCCATCTCTACTAAAAAAATATAAAAAATTAGCCGGGTATGGTGGTGGGTGCCTGTAGTCCTAGCTACTGGGGAGGCTGAGGCAGGAGAATGGCGTGAACCTGGAAGGCGGAGCTTGCAGTGAGCCAAGATCAGGGGCCACTGCACTCCAGCCTGGGCGACAGAATGAGACTCTGTCTAATAAATAAATAAATAAAAGACATACACTGGTTCTGTCCTGAAAGGCAGGACAACTGAAGTAAGGAGAAGGCTTCTAGGTCACAGGTAGATGAGAGACAAATGGTTACATCCTTTTGAGTTTCTGATCAGCTTTTCCCAAGGGAGGCAATCAGATATGCATTTATCTCGGTGAGCAGAGGGATGACTTTGAATAGAGTGGGAGGCAGGTTGTCCCTAAGCAATTCTCAGCTTGACTTTCCTCTTTAGCTTAGTGATTTTGCAGCCCCAAGATTTCCGAGATTTATTTATTTTTCACACATGTAATAGGATTGGCAAAATATAGCTAAAAATAGTATGTCTAAGTAGAAGTCTTAATGAATACAGATCTCTTTGTTAAATAAGAAGTAATTTTTAATTAGATTAACCTGCCTCTCTTGGTTTCAAACAGTCCTAATCTTCCTAGAGTGCTAATTGTTTATATCCTACAAGGATCTTATGTTTAGTGTTTTTAACTTTTTGGAAGTAGCTGGATGAAATAGATATGGACCTAGGAGAAAAGCAATACCATATAAACACGTCACATCAAAACATCCTACTATTGATCAACTTATTAGCATAAAAATGGTCCAATGGGCATCAGAATATTGAAAAAACAAGGAGATGATGTTGCTGATTCAGGAACTTCTCACTTCTTATTCTTTATTTCTCCTTGGAAGGTAGTTAATGAGATTATAGTTTTAATCCTGGGCATGCTTGGCCACTCTATCTTTAGTATAGGCTTATGGATATTAAGAACGTTCTTGCTTAATAATTACGATATGAAGCTAATGCTGTTTCCTTCTCTTCGATATCCTGCTCATTCCTCAACAGTCAGGGCCCAGGCAATGTCCTACCCCCTCCACAGAATAGCTCCTCCATTCCTGCCCACTTGAACCCACGTTGACACAACTTCCTTCTAAATCCCTGCAACATTCTCTTTGGCATGTATGGACACATTCAATACTTACCAGTTGATGCTGTCAATCATACATCAATGTCATATATATATATCAGTCATTAGATATAAGTTCCATCCAGACAGGAACCGAGTCTCTTTACATTACCAAGTCCACATCACCATGTACAATGATAGGGCACTATAAATGTTTGTTGAATTAATAAGTTCAGGAAAGAATGAGTGAACGAATGAGTGGGAAGTGAGTTGGAAGACCTCTGCAACTGACCAACTCTGCCCTTGCTTAGGGTAATGTTTCTCTAAAAGAGGTCTTTGAATCTTCTGCATCAGAATCATCTGAAATGATTGAGATGCAAAATCCTGGGCTCCATCCCCAGTTCCTTTCATTAGAATATCTGGAGTTGAGCCTAGGAATTTGCAGCTTAACAAGCACCCTAGGTGATTTTTTTTTTTTAGACAGGGTCTCATTCCCATCACCCAAACTGGAGTACAATGGTACGATCTTGGCCCACTGCACCCTTGCCCTCCCGGGCTCAGGTGATTCTCCCACCTCAGCCTCTGAGTAGCTGGGACCACAGGTATGCACCACCACGCTCAGCTAATCAGGTGATTCTTTAGCCCACAAATTTGAGAGCCACTGGTTTACCAGGGTATGTTTTAGCAGATATTTTTTGACTGCTTCATTGGAATAATCTGAATTACACACCACACCTCTCCACAGATTTTATAATTAAGCTCAAACTTGTAACAGTTTGTAATATTCTTTTGTAAGAAATCAATTTTCCTGGAAGAAAGAGATGTTTAGTTTTGGGCACCAGTGTTGTGAGATCACTGGAATTAAGGCAAACAGCAAAACCCATAGTATTTGTATACCATGATGAGACAGCCAAATGCCTAGGCAGATAAAACAGTGTCCCCAGAGAACCTCCGACCCACCCCACAAGTGTTGACATCAGATGCTTTTGTGCAGATGAGGGAACCTGCCCAGGGCCTCGTCTGAGCCTGCCCACACGTGCACTGGGGGAACGGGGTGGAGCCACAGGCAGCGGGAGGAGCCTGGCTCTTCAGTTCTTGTGTGGTGACCTGGGATTCAATCTGTGAGGTGGGGGACTTGTTAGCAGGAAGCCACCTCACTTTGCTGAGTTTTTTTGTTTTTTTCCCTTTTCGCCCAATAAAACCCTCCTCTGCCCACCCTTCAATGTGTCTACATATAATTCTCCTGGTCTTCTGACAAGCTAGAGCCCAGTTTTAGCTGAACTAAGGAGCAAAATTCTGCAACATTTTGGCTCCTAGGTGTGGGGCTTGAGGAGGGGTGGGTAAGATGTGAACCAAAAAATCTTTTTCCCCTTTCGCTTCCAAGCCTTTTTGTCCTTGGGCTTCTTCTGAGGGTAGAGGAAACTGCACACCCCCTCACCCCAATGGCTGCAGGCACCTGCGAGATAGACTGGCGAATGGTGGGTTCCCCGCTCCCCTCCCAGCCAGGGTTGGGGTGCATGGCCCATGGCCCAAGGGTGCCCAATGGTGGACAGCAATTAAGTTTCTCTCCCTGTCGGAGGAACCCATTTGTATAAGAGTAAGAGGTATTTTCCCCAGGCATCTTTCCAACCCTGCATTTTAAACTATTTTTTCCTTTTCTCTACCCTGTCAGCATTTAACTTTTAAGTGAGAGGTTTTTTTTTTCCTTTTTGAAGACATTTTACTAGGCCAGGAATAAGGATCACTGTTTATATTCTCTGTAAAGTTTTAATTATGAAAAAGGATTTGTGAGGTTGGTCTTAAGCTGTAGCCAGTCTTGTGGGCTTTGCATGACTTTCTGTATGGTGAGTAGCAAACCTTGCTGCGGGCCTCCATCTTGTTTTAGGGAGCATGACCTGTAACCACGTGGCAACGTTTTGTCTTAGCCTCCACCATTTTACAATGGCGGCCGGGTTCAATCCTGGCTTAGGGAATAAGTCCTTTCTGGTTTGATATCTGCATGATCTGTTGCTGATTCTCTTCCCCTCCACGAACCACCTTTTATCTTCCTTTCTCTGAGCACCTGGGACATCACCTTTAGCAAAGTTTGAAAGCCAGAAATATTGGCCACTTGGCACGGCTAGTTGGGTAATAAGGCAGTTAAAAGGTTTTTCTCAAAGAGCACTCAGCTTAATTAAAAGTGGATATCCAAGTTATAAGTATATTTAAAAGGTCTTTACGTTTTTTGTTTGTTTGTTTGTTTTCTTGGATCTCTTTGCTGGAAAAGGGCTTTTTCTCAGTAGACTGAATTATTTTTCTCCATTTTGCCTTGTCACTCTTAATGTATGCATGAGAGGCCCTAAGATAACTCCTGGGGGCATGGGACTCCTTGGGAAAAACAGACAAGGTGCCACTAACCCCGTTTTGGGAAGAAACCTGTTTTTCTCATGGAACCCCGGGAATTAAATGCAGATATATCCCTCTCAAAATCTGTTTTTGCCTCCCAGTCATGCCTATTTTATTAGGCCTTAAAAGCTGCATGTTTTTCTGGCCCTGTCTCTTAAAAGGCAACACCCGGAAGCCAATAATCCAATTAGGAGATTGGCAGACGAAAAATTTCACAGCTACTGCATTTTCTTCTGCTTGTGTAGTTAAATATGTGTCGTGTATGTGATGTCTATAAAAAAGAGCTCTACTTCATTGACTTAAAAGAGGATAAGCACTTGAATCAAATATTTTTTAAAAGGGAAGATAAAAGCTGTGGTACCTTTCAGTTCACATGACTTTAATCCTCGAGGAATAAAAGCAGCCTTAAAGATTATTGGTAAAATGTAGATGTCATCAAAATGTAAATAGGTGATCTAAATTATGCAGGTCAGATATTAGGTTTGCTAAATGTTTTAAGGTTATAAACTGCCTTTTTTGGTTTTTGTGAACAGTTTGACTTGCCTGCTTCACAACTGGTGAGGCCTACAGACATATGGAATAAACCACACCCTTAATTATGCTGGAAGGAGTCAAACCTTGGCTGCGACTTGTACATAATTATAACAACTTACTAGGTTCTACATAAAAGTTAAAAATTGCTGGGAGTTACCATTATAACATGTAACTGAAACTACTGGAAATAGATTTACATGTGAGGTGTATAAGAACAGTAAGATGTGTTTTTAGCAAAAGATGATAAGAAGGCGTAGAAATGTAAATTCTTTCCTAGGCTTGAAGGATTGTTTTGAATTAGATAAGGTAAAGCTGAAGGTTTAATCAAATGATGAAAGGAGTATAAAAATTAATCTTGGCCGGGTGTGGTGGCTCATGCCTGTAATCCCAGCACTTTGGGAGGCCAAGGCAGGCGGATCACCTGAGGTCGGGAGTTCGAGACCAGCCTGACCAACATGGAGAAACTCCATCTCCACTAAAAATACAAAATTAGCTGGGCGTGGTGGCACATGCCTGTAATCCCAGCTACTCGGGAGGCTGAGGCAGGAGAAGCACTTGAACCCGGGAGGCAGAGGTTGCGGTGAGCCGAGATTGTGCCATTGCACTCCAGCCTGGGCAACAAAGACTGAAACTCTGCCTCAAAAAAATAATAATAATAATCTTGCAAAAGAAATTCCATGTGTGAACATATTAACTACATTCAAATGGTTATTATATGGTCTTCTATAAATTCAGCATTGAAATAAAAGCACAACAAGGTACTCTTAAGGCATTAATCTGCTCTTTAGCAAAATTTGTAAAAGGTTATAAAAGGTTTTTTGCTTTTTTAAAATTTCTGAGTCATTATTTTGGCAAAATAAATAATTTATGGCAATCTGGAATTGTATTTCATAACATCAGGTGTTTTAAATTTCTAACACATAACAGACTTCCCAAAATCAAACTTCAGTTTCAAAATTGTCTTTCCTGATGCCTGGCTTTTTGGATGCTACAGAGGGCCCCTGGAGTATCCAAAAGAGAGGTGAACAGGATTATTTGACATGTTTAAGTACATTGGATTGCCAAAATGATGTTTAATCTTCAGGTTAGATTTTAGAGAATTATATTAATATATGTTCCAAAATTGTATGGGATGTCTAAAATTCTAATGTCTGAGTATACGCTATCAATCATAATTAAGGTTATTAAGTTATTGTAAACCACGAAGATAACCAAATTTATTTGTCAATCATGTTTCTGACTATAACTACCCTGGACATTTTGTTATTTACAGATAATTGTCTTATTTTGATCCTCTTCAACAGATGGTTTATAACCAGCTATAGAACTTTGACAGGTGCTCTGAAATGCAGGTTTCTGATAACTTTGGAGATTGTGACATTATTCCAAAGGAAAAACATACAGGACTCATGAAAAGATGAAATGTTTATGAATATCAAGCAAAACAAGAGTTAACTGAACGGTCTAAACTAATACAAAACTGAGGTAATCTTTTGACTTTTGCTTGAAATATTGCTGATCCTTGTTTTGTTTTTCAGAGTCAAGCAAACTTATTTTGAGCTATTTACAGCCTTTAATCATTGAGTAAGGTATACTCCTGTGAACAAAATTTGGAGTATATTTGTCTCTGTCTCTCTGCCTGGCTTCTCCAGAATTTGGAAACTAGTTGTGAGTATTCTTAATTTATGGCCATATAGTTGTTTGCATCAGTGCAATAAGAATCCATTTTCTTTTGCAACAGCACACAATTGGAGAAACTGGTTGCAACAAGACACAATTGGAGAACCTGGTTGCTTTACTGAGGCTTTGACTGGAAAGGTATGCTTCCCTTTAAGGAGTCAAGCTTGACTTGCAGAGTCAATAAAGCCCCATGGGAGAAACTGGCCTCATATCTTCGTACACAGTCCCCATACAGGGTTCCTAACCTGCGGTAGGTAAAGAATGTCACTTTCCAACAGACCCAGGGACCATATCTCTTGAAACCTCAAGAAGAGAGGAGTTTGCCCAACTCATCGGTATTTGAGGATACAAACCCATGACTAGGCTCAGCTTTAAAAGGTCTTATTTGAGATTCTCTGTGGAACAAAGTTCCATGAAAGCCGATCTAAAAGGCCTATGTGGAAATAATTATTCTTGCTGCACTTTATGCAAATAATCGGGCCAAGTATAAGACTAAAGTCTATTTTGCAAACAACCCAGTCCTATCATGATTTGTTTTTAACAAAAATGAAGACTAGAGAAAGAGAAATAATGTTTCAAAACTTATCATTAGGTTCTAGATTCATTCATTGTTTTTAACTTTTTGCCTACATTTTAGACGAACCCTGCTTGTTCCTGTGAACCAAACAGCAATCTCTGGCTGCAGCTCAGAAAAAAACAAAAGGGATGGGTGACGTAAAAATCTGGATCAGTATTCTCCTTCTGAGCAGTTATCCTGCAAATCCTTCCAGGTGATGAAAATAAATAGGATGCCCACCACCCAGAGGTTTCCTTTTTGGGAAAGTAAGACAAAGGGAGCTAACCAAAGCCAAGCCCCATGCGTCCAAATCTTAGCAAGCATAACTATAGCCACCAGTGATCTAGGGGTGTCACAAGACATCCTTTTCTCTCCCTGGTTGGAGGAGGACTCAATTCCACCGCTTCATCTCAGCATTCAGCTTATAATAAGGAGTCCACGCAACCCCCCCTCAAGACGTATTTTTGTCCCAAATTCAATTCCAAACTTCAGCTCAAAGCCCTAGGAAAGAAAACTGGATCTGAGGAATCCAGAGACAGATGATAATGGCAGTTAAAAGACACAGCACAGGTGAGCATGACTAATTCCTGCTGCTTAAGCCAAGCTTCCCATTACACGGATAAAGGTCATGCTAGTATCCACGGCATAAATGAGGTCTAGGGAATTCACAGGCTACTGACAGCAGGGGAGACAGGGCGTATGTGGGTAAGAGCGGATATTCCCATCCCTTAGGCCCTCCTTTTAACATGGGTGAAAGCCACTTTGACACCCATAGGTGGCACCCTGTTGTGGCTGCCAGGACTTGGGGATACAAGGACAGAGGAAAGAAAGAGGAACGCCTCACTTTCCGTCCCTCACGTACTCTGGGTGTTTGCTAGTAAGAGAAAGGAACCAGGGATGCCTGCTCCCTTCTTTCTGGATGGGTAGCCATTCATCTTCAGTCTGTATCTCTTTTGAATGCCTCCTGAACCCCTGGGACTCCTCTAAAAAACACCTTCTTTTTCCTTTTTTTTTCCTCTGTCCTCTCTTCAGTGATATATAATGGTGTCTCTGTACTATGAGACGCTCCCTTCAGATGCATTCTCCAAACTGGGAAGAGTTAATTTCCTAAACCTTAGGCTGGTTGGTTTAGTACTGGGCTCAGGAGAAGGGAACCCAGAAGTCCAAATGCTGGCAAAAGGGTAGTTTCATTTTTTATTTTTTTAACCAGTTGGGCTTTTGGCCTCCCCTCCCACTTTGCAAACCAGTAAAAGGCCTTGGGATTTTTTGAGCTGTCCTTACCGTAACCTCCTTGTTTCGTTTTGATATATGTTTCCTAATAACCCAGTTGTCTATTCTCGCCTTCAGGCTATCAAACTCCAAATGATCATGCAACCAGAGCCTCGGACGATGGCCTTTTCTGCTGGGGATACTTAGATAAGCCTCTGAGGGAGATCTGACTGCTGTTTTCCCCAAAACAGTGCCCCCTGTTAGCAGAAAGCAGTTAATTTTGGTCATCATCCTTATCCTTACCTTATTCTAACCGCCGTTGGATGTACTTCTTTAGAGGGGGGAATAAGACAGCCAAATGCCTAGGCAGATATAAAGGTGTCCCCAGAGAATCTCCGACCCACCCCACAAGTGTTTACATCAGATGCTTCTGTACAGATGAGGGAACATGCCCAGGGCTTCATCTGAGCCTGCTCACATGTGCACTGGGAGAATGGGGTGGAGCCACAGGCAGGGGGAGGAGCCTGCTCTTCAGTTCCTGTGTGGTGGCCTGGGATTCAACCTGTGAGGTGGGAGGCCTGTTAATAGGACTCCATCTCACTTTGCTGAGTTTTTTCTTTTTTTTTCCCCCTTTTGCCCAATAAAATGCTGCTCTGCACACCCTTCAATGTGTCCACATGTCTAAAGTCTCCTGGTCATGTGACATGAACCCAGTTTTAGCTGAACTAAGGAGCAAAATTCTGCAACAATGATGCCTTAAAGACATTTCTGCCTGCACAATCATTTCTTTTCTTTTCTTTTCTTTCTTTTTTTTTTTTTTTTTGAGACAGAGTCTCACTCTGTCACCCAGGCTAGAGTGCAGTGGCATGATCTCGGCTCACTGCAACCTCCACCTCCTGGGTTCAAGCGATTCTCCTGCCTCAGCCTCCCAAGCAGCTGGGATTACAGGCATGTGCCACCACGCCTGGCTAATTTTTATATTTTTAGTAGAGACGAGTTTCACCATGTTGGTCAGGCTGGTCTTGAACTCCTGACCTCTAATGATCCACCTGCCTTGACCTCCCAAAGTGCTGGGATTACAGGCATGAGCCACTATCCCTGGCCACACAATCATTTCACTTAGGAGTTTTATAACTTGCAATAGTTCCTAAGAAAAATACCATTTTACCGGGGCAAACTATGGTAGATTCTTAGTCTTCTCTTTGGTGGTGGCCTCTGTGATCTCTTTGGAATAGCTCAAGAATGCTGTCTTTTGGTCTTCCTTCTTGGAATGTCTCAGGACAGGTGACATAGGACACTGAGCTGGAAGATGCACAGACACAGGGAACTGTTTTCTAAACTCAGGTGTCATTACTGCTCTGAAAGCAGCTTCTAAATGGAGAAAACAAATCCAACTGGAGCAGGAGTAACCACATCCCCTTCCATCTTTCACCGTATTAGATGAAGACTTTTTTTTTTGAGACAGGATCTCACTCTGTCACCCAGGCTGGCTCACTGCAACCTCCCCCTCCTAGGCTCAAGCAATCCTCCCACCTCAGCCTCCTGAGTAGCTAGGAGGCTACAGCTACAACTACAAGCACCTGCCACCACGTTCGGCTAATTTTTTGTAGAGACAGGGTTTCTCAATGTTGCCTAGGCTGGTCTCCAACTCGTGAGCTCAAGCAGTCCTCCCATGCCAGCTTCCCTAGGTGCTGGGATTACAGGCATGAGCCACGGTGGCCTGCCCAAGACATTTTTTTTAAATGAGAGATTTTAAAAGCTTAGCAATGAGAGAATAAACCCAACAGGTCTACCATTCCAACTCACCTTTGCTTTTTTCTTTTCTTCCCTTCCACAGTAGGAAGTATCCTCTCTCAGTACCTAAAGCTTTGATGTCACCTCCTCTAACAGGTACACCATGCAGTGTAGATCATTCCAAGTCTTTGTAAGCACTAAGTTACAGTCTCTTGAAGAATTCCATTGAACTGGTTCCAGAGTTGGTGTCTCTTTTCTAATCCTCCATTTATATGATAATCACTTGAAATTCAAGTCACCTGTTACTAGGATTGCAAGAAACAGAGGAATCAAATATATATATATATATATATATATATTTTTTTTTTTTTTTTTTTTTGAGACAGAGTTTCACCCCTGTTGCCCAGGCTGGAGTGCAATGGCGTGATCTCAGCTCACTGCAACCTCTGCCTCCCAGGTTCAAGCAATTCTCCTGCCTCAGCCTCCCGAGTAGCTGGGATTACAGGCATGCACCACCATATCCCGGCTAATTTTTTTTTTTTTTTTTTTTTTTTTTTTTTTTTTTTTTGTAGTAGAGACGGGGTTTTTCCATATTGGTCAGGCTGGTCTCGAACTCCCGACTTCAGGTGATCCGCCCACCTCGACCTCCCAAAGTGCTGGGATTACAGGCGTGAGCCACCACAACCGGCGGAATCAAATCTTTTCTTCTGGAGTTCTTTTAATGCTTTTAATCCAAGGTCCCAGCTCTCATGCTCACTTGAACTAACTCTCCCTCCCCCTCCCCCTCTCCCACTCCCTCAGCTTTTATAGATTTTTCTACAATACTTTCTCCTTACCCTTGTTAAAGCATTTGTTATCACTTCCATCCTTTACTGTTTAATCTTTCTCATAAGCACAAATACGCGTGCACACACATACACACACTCACATGAGTTCCCCGTGCCGGCTGCAAGTCTGGGTGCTGTTTTACTCAGCTATCTACGTTAGACCTGTGTTCCTGTTATTCCACAATATTACCACATTCCAGGAGGAGAAACCATTTTATTGTCTATTTCTTATTTTGATCCACATATCACATTAAAATGGAGCAAAAGAAAGGGTCTCAAACAGACAATATGAGTGCCTTCTTTAAGATGCTGGCCCTATAGAAATAGATTTCATGTTTTCCAAAGAGGACCCGGTACATCCCAGCCGCGGCCAGTCACTTGGCGCCATCTGCTGGACATGGACAAACAATCGTAGGCGGGGAACATCAGAACTGACGCATAGGTGCCCACTGCAAACCTGGCTCCCTGATGAACGAATGGTTTCCCACTGAAACGAGGCTTTACATCCCTTTATAACAAATCATCTCTCCAACTTCTTATCAATATCTCAGAAGCTAGGGAGTCTTTTCCACTATGGTTTTCCTATTTCCTCTGCTGGTGCATAAAGTGCCTTTGCTTTGTTTAACAAGCAATAAACAACTTTTTGTTTTGCGTATCACTGTATCCCCAGCATCCTGCATAGTGACTGGCACATGTAGGAGCTCCAAAATCAGTGGGTATTTTTGTTTCTTTGGCTTTTAAACGAAATAATAAGTGATTGATATCTGAGTCGGGGAAGATGACACACAGATATTCCTATTTTCATCAGACACGTTTGTTTTTTTGTTTTTTTTTTCTAGACGTCCCAGCCTGGGTAGGTGGGTAATGGTTTAGAAGCTCCTAAGGATGAACCTCTTCCCACCGCTAAAGTATTGAATCTGCTAAAAATAAGGGAAGAAACACTAATAAATAAATAAATAAACCAGGAAAAAACCCTTGTGGGGAGGGGAGACAAGAAGGAATAAAGACTTTGCATTATAGATTCTCCATGAAACCTGGCCTAGAATTGGATGAGCCTTCAATGCTCAATATACTTTTCAAAAATTGATGATTAACCAATTTGCTCAGTGCAATGGTTAATTTTATGTATCGATGTGGGTAGGCGCACGGGCATGGTGGCTCCACACCTGTAATCCCAGCACTTTCAGTGGCCAAGGTGAGCGGATCACTTGAGGTCAGGAGTTTGAGACCAGCCTGGCCAACATGGCTAAACTCTGTCTCTACTAAAAAAATAAAATAAAATAAAATAAAAATAGCCAGGCATCATGGCATGTGCCTGTAATCCCAGATATCCAAAGGCTGAGGCAGGAGAATTGCTTGAACCTGGGAGGCAGAGGTTGCAATGAGCCAAGATTGTGCCAGTGCACTCCAGCCTGGGTGACAGAGCAAGACCCTATCTTAAAACAAGCAAACAAAAAAACCTAAAATAATAGGGAAGCAGGTATCAGGGAAATAGGGAAGCAAAGGAGGCAGGTCTCGATGGCTAACTCAGTATGGGCAGAAGAGTCAAAGCTGCCTCCAAATTTCTAACTTAGCAAATGGGCAAATGTTGATGGCTGGAATTAAAACGAAAAATAGAGAGGATAAAGCAATTCAGCCAACAGTAATACATTTAGGATTGTTGTCAGAGGCATTCAAACCAGAGCAACTCCATCTTGGGTGAGGACTAGGAAAAATGAGGCTGGGACTTGCTGGGCTGCCCTCCCCGAAAGTTAGATATTCCTAGCCTCTAGATGTTTGTGGCTAAGGAAACAGATTGATAACCTTTACTAAACAGACCCAGACGTAGGAGTGTCCTGTGTAGAAAGCAAAAAGTTTCTTCCTCAAAGTTTCCCTTGTTAAAGAATAAATCATAAGTGTTAGAAGTAATAGTTCCTTTTAAAGACTAACTTCCTTCAAGCCTCCTTGCTTTGTGCTAATAACTCTTTGTTAAGCCCTATCCTATGTAGTTATTAAACATGCTCACAGGCACATAGTACATTCTATGTCCTTGTACTTTAACCAAGATATCTGTGCTGGACATGCTCACAGACATGTCCCAGCTCGCAGCCTATGCCCCTTCCTTATTTGGGAATGTTATTACTTTTCTAAGTCCTTTAGTAAGCAACTTCCTCCTTTCCCTTGTTCTCCATTGCTTTCACCTATTTAGAGAAGTTTTAAATTGTCAGCCAATCGGGTTCAGTTTATATTGTGAGGTCTGGCTCCAGCCAATGGAGACAGGACAGAGTAGCAGGGACAAGCTGCATAAGGGACAAAAATTGCTTCCCATTCCCTTTGAAAACTGGCACAAGAGAGGGATGCCCTCTCTCACCACTCCTATTACACATAGTGTTGGAAGTTCTGGCCAGGGCAATCAGGCAGGAGAAAGAAATAAAGGGTATTCAATTAGGAAAAGAGGAAGTCAAATTGTCCCTATTTGCACATGACATCATTGTATATTTAGAAAACCCCATCGTCTCAGCCCAAAATCTCCTTAAGCTGATAAGCAACTTCAGCAAAATCTCAGGATACAAAATCAAGTGCAAAAATCACAAGCATTCCTAAACACCAATAACAGACAAACAGAGAGCCAAATCATGAGTCAACTCCCATTCACAATTGCTTCAAATAGAATAAAATACCTAGGAATCCAACTTACAAGGGACGTGAAGGACCTCTTCAAGGAGAACTACAAACCACTGCTGAACGAAATAAAAGAGGACACAAACAAATGGAAGAACATTCCATGCTCATGGATAGGAAGAATCAATATCGTGAAAATGGCCATACTGCCCAAGGTAATTTATAGATTCAATGCCATCCCCATTAAGCTACCAATGACTTTCTTCACAGAATTGGAAAAAACTACTTTAAAGTTCATATGGAACCAAAAAAGAGCTGCATTGCCAAGACAATCCTAAGCCAAAAGAACAAAGCTGGAGGCATCACGCTACCTGACTTCAAACTATACTACAAGGCTACAGTAACCAAAACAGCACAGTACTGGTACCAAAACAGAGATATAGACCAATGGAACACAACAGAGCCCTCAGAAATGATACCACACATCTACAATCATCTGATCTTTGACAAACCTGACAAAAACAAGCAATGGGGAAAGGATTCCCTATTTAATAAATGGTGCTGGGAAAACTGGCTAGCCATATGTAGAAAGCTGAAACTGGATCCCTTCCTTACACCTTGTACAAAAATAAATTCAAAATGGATTAAATACTTAAATGTTAGACCTAAAACCATAAAAACCCTAGAAGAAAACCTAGGCAATACCATTCAGGACATAGGCATGGGCAAGGACTTCATGACTAAAACACCAAAAGCAATGGCAACAAAAGCTGAAATAGACAAATGGGATCTAATTAAACTAAAGAGCTTCTGCACAGCAAAAGAAATTACCATCAGAGTGAACAGGCAACCTACAGAATGGAAGAAAATTTTTACAATCTACCCATCTGACAAAGGGTTAATATCCAGAATCTACAAAGAACTTAAACAAATTTATAAGAAAAAAGCAAACAACCCCATCAAAAAGTGGGCAAAGGATATGAACAGACACTTCTCAAAAGAAGACATTTATGCAGCCAAAAAACACATGAAAAAATGCTCATCATCACTGGCCATCAGAGAAATGCAAATCAAAACCACAATGAGATACCATCTCACACCAGTTAGAATGGTGATCATTAAAAAGTCAGGAAACAACAGGTGCTGGAGAGGATGTGGAGAAATAGGAACACTTTTATACTGTTGGTGGGACTGTAAACTAGTTCAACCATTGTGGAAGACAGTGTGGCTATTCCTCAAGGATCTAGAACTAGAAATACCATTTAACCAAGCAATCCCATTACTGGGTACATACCCAAAGGATTGTAAATTATACTACTATAAAGACACATGCACACATATGTTTATTGCGGCACTATTCACAATAACAAAGACTTGGAACCAACCCAAATGTCCATCAATGATAGACTGGATTAAGAAAATGTGGCACATATACACCCTGGAATACTATGCAGCCATAAAAAAGGATGAGTTCATGTCCTTTGTAGGGACATGGATGAAGCTGGAAACCACCATTCTGAGCAAACCATCGCAAGGACAGAAAACCAAACACCACATGTTCTCACTCATAGGTGGGAACTGAACAATGAGAACACTTGGACACAGGGTGGGGAACATCACACAACGGGGCCTGTCGTGGGGTGGGGGGAGGTGGGGAGGGATAGCATTAGGAGAAATACCTAATGTAAATGACGAGTTAATGGGTGCAGCACACCAACATGGCACATGTATACATATATAACTAATCTGCACATTGTGCACATGTACCCTAGAACTTAAAATATAATAATAATTAAAAAAAAATTGCTTCCCTTCTTTATTCAGGTGTGTTGTCACCATTATTCCATCTGCGAGGAGCACCCTTTCTGCAGAAAGTAAAATTACCTTGCTGAGAAAACTTTTTGTCTAAATGCTGATTTTTCCTTATGGTACCAAGGAACAAGCATTCTGTTTTTGAATAAACATTTTACATATAACAAAATGGTGGCACATATGGGGATACATTCCCCTCCGGGGGTGGTCTCTAGTCCTCTCTCATGAGGAGGCACGCGTTGTGGCCTTAGGGGTAAGGAATCGAGACCCACCTGGTGTGATGAATAAACCCGGACTCTCAGCAACGCAGAAGGAAACTGGCTGTGACCTGGAGTAAAGGATCCTCACGTACCACGTGGACCGGGTGACCTCATGCATGAGCCAAGGAAGGGAACACTGGAGGAGCCAGTAAAGCAATTCCTTAGTCAGGCAGGACTAAAGCGGGGCCATAAAGCATTCCTTGGTTGGGACACATACCAAGGCAAGAGAAACAGCAGGAGCGGTAAAGCATTCCTTAGGTCAGGACTGAGAAAAGAAAAGCCACGGGGTTGGGGGGAGAATGGGGGTGGCGGTGAAGTATTCCTTAGACAGAATGTCTTAGAGGTTAAAAAGAGGTGAAAAATCCCCATTAGGGGAAGATTAAACATCACACAAACGTCCAGTAGTAAAAAGGATATTCAAAACTTCCCTTTCCCCTCTTCTCAGGGGAAGAAAGAGGCTAAGCTCCATTCCCACTGCCACTCCCTAGGGAAAGGGGGAGGAGAAGAGAGAGCAGCAGCGTGGGTGGCTGGCAGAGGCAGGGAAGAGCAGCAGAGAGAGAAAAAGGCAGAGACAGAAAGCAAAAATCTTTTGGCAAAGTTCCAAAGTTCTCTAGACGAGGTTAAAAAAAGAAAGGGAACTCAAGAATGCAAAGAGAAAGAAGGCAAGGTAGGTACTTTAAAGAAGAAGGTCAAAGAAAGTGCTATAAGGGCTGTGGATGTAAAGATAAGGAGGGAAGACAAGGGGGCCCTCTGGCCCAGGGTTAACGACTCAAACAACTTGAACCTGGCATCTGCCGAGCCTCTGGGCCGATGGCAGCCCTGGGCCCAGACTGCAGCCGCATGGATCCCACCCAGCCCAAGAGACTGAGTGTAAGGGAGAGAGGAAACGGGATGGCAAAGAGAGAGAGAGAGAGAGCGAGAGCGAGCAAATGAAAGAGAGATAGAGGGAGAGAATAAGTGACAGACTGGAAGAGACAATGATCAGAGAAAGACACAGAAGGTAAGACTAGGAAGAGAAATAGTGTAAAAGGAAGTCAGAAAGTTAAAGCATGTCAAAGATTGTCTGTGAAAGCCATAAAAAATGTTACAAAAGAGAATTTATGCAAGAAATGTTGTATAATTTAAAAGTAATTAGGCCTCCTGAATGTAAAACTATTAAAGGAACAGTTTATGTGCAAGATATGTAAGGAAAATAAAATATACTTTTAGTAAAAGGATTATAAGGAGGCATAAGAATATCAATTTTTACCTACATTAAAAGGTTAAAAAAAGGTGCTAAAGAAAATTCAAAAGAAAAATAAATATTGCTAAACCAAAGGGAAATATTATCCAACCCCTTATAAAGAAAATCTTATTCCAACTGCATCAAAGAACCCATTAGGGGCCCTCCAGCGCAGAGTTAATACCAACAAGTTTCCACCTCCAGTGGCTCCTAGACAGGCCAGGGTACAAGCCAGCAGGGGGACCTAGCCACGGACAGACACTTCCTGTGTCAGGGAGGGGGCCAGGCAGTTGTTAGACAGCACAGCCCAGCCCAAGGCCAGAGGCCAGACAGTGGGGGCTTGGGCAGGAGCAAAGTCTAGGGTTGGCCGGGTGAGTCACAAGGCCCCTCATCCCCAAGGCCGAAACGCACAGGGGTGATGAGGGCCACAGAGAGGCCGAGACCTCGAGAGAGGGGCAGGGCCACCAGGTCCCCTAGGCAACACTAAGTAGGGATGGGGCAGGAGGCATCACCATGGGGCCTCAAGCCCCAAGATATGCAAAGTCCTAACAAAATAAGAAGCCCCAAAGGGTCCCTCAGAAACAACTAAGTAAACATTTTTAAAAAAGGAAATTTCTCAACAAGAAGACACTAGGAACTATAAAGTAAAAAAAAAAAAAAAAAAATACCTATAGGTTGCCTTACTTACATTCCACTGCTGATGTCCCCACATTTAAAACAAAAGATCAGTTTCTCAGAAATTATATACTTGGTTTATCTTCCACTTTCCCTTCCCTCAGAACTAAGTCTTTTAGCACAGGTACCACCCCTAGAATTTCCAGTACACCAGCACCAGCCTGGAAACCACATCCTCATCAAAGGTCAGAAAGAAGAAAAACTTGAGCCAGCCTGGGAAGGACCCTACCTTGTGCTGCTAACCACTGAGACTGCCGTTCACACAGCAGAAAAGGATGGACACATCATACCTGCGTCAAGAAAGCATCATCACCATCAGAGTCATGGGCCATTGTTCCAGGGTCAAGCCCTACCAAGTTAAAGCTACGAAAACTTAATCTATCTTCTCTTTTTATTTTCTTCCCTTTAACTACTCTCCATCTTATTAAGGTAACTAAATCTAACTCACCTCAAGTTACTACTTTTAATGCCTGTTTAGTTATCACTCCTCCCAGACACAATGACAAGACCAAAGTCTCTATAGTAAAAGTAAAAAACCTAAGGCAAACAAGAACAATTGAGACAAGGTATCAGGATGTAAATGCCTGGCTAAAATGGATTAAATATTCCATCTGCACTCTAAATAAATGCAATCGTTACGCTTGTGTGCGTGGTAGGCCAGAGGTCCAGGTTGTCCCCTTTCCACTCAGATAATCCTCTAATCGACAAGACATGGACTTCCTGGTAGCTCTTTTTCAAAATCCTACAGCCTGTGACAGTGAACTGTGCCAAACTCTCTCTGCTATTTCCTAAAATGCAGTACCCTGTGGGTCAGCCCCCGAGGGCCATCCAGCCTTGTAGGGACCGGCCCTACAGGGTCTGTGGGTCTTTCACCCTGTGTGCAGAGACAAGAGATCATAGAAATAAAGACACAAGACAAAGTGATAGAAGAAAAGACAGCTGGGCCCAGGGGACCACTACCACCAAGATGTGGAGACTGATAGTGACCCCAAATGCCAGGCTGTGCTGTTATTTATTGGATACAAGACAAGGGGGCAGGGTAAGGAGTGTGAGCCATCTCCAATGATAGGTAAGGTCACGTGGGTCACATGTCCACTGGACAGGCGGCCCTTCCCTGTTTGACAGCCAAGGCGGAGAGAGAGGACACAGCTTACGCCATTATTTCTGCATATCAGAGACTTTTAGTACTTTCACTAATTCTGCTACTGCTATCTAGAAGGCAGAGCCAGGTATACAGGGTGGAACATGAAAGTGGACCAGGAGCGTGACCGCTGAAGCACAGCATCACAGGGAGACGTTTAGGCCTCTGGATGGCTGCGGGCAGGCCTGTCTGATGTCAGGCCTTCCACAAGAGGTGGTGGAGCAGAGTCTTCTCTAACTCCCCTGGGGAAAGGGAGACTCCCTTTCCCGGTTTGCTAAGTAACGGGTGCCTTCCCTAGGCACTGACATTACTGCTAGACCAAGGTCAGCTAAGTAACGGTTGCCTTCCCAGGCACTGGTGTTACCGCTAGACCAAGGAGCCCTCTAGTGGCCCTATCCGGGCGTGACAGAGGGCTCACACTTGCCTTCTGGTCACTTCTCACTGTGCCCCTTCAGCTCCTATCTCTGTATGGCCTGGTTTTTCCTAGGTTATAATTGTAGAACAGAAATTATTATAACAGTGGAATAAAGAGTAATGCTACAAACTAATGATTAATAATATTCATATATAATCATATCTATATCCTATTTCTAGTACAACTATTCCTCTTCTATGTGTTTTCTTTATTATACTGGAACAGCTTGTGCCCTCGGTCTCTTGCCTCAGCACCTGGATGGCTTGCTGCCCACACAGCCTCCATCTTTCAAGACCAATTTTACCTCATTTCTCCAACGACAAGGGGAAAATTTGGCATTCCTTGGAGACTTAACAAGCAGTGAGTTCAGGCACTTCCAAGAGCTGACCCATCAGTCCACCATTATTCATCACCAAGCAGATGTATGGTAGTATTGTAGAGGACCTTTACTGGACATTCTGCCAAACAATTAGAGCAGTACTTGCACTCTAGTTCAATTGGCTATCCCTTTTACCCTGGCATTTCATCAACCAGAAAAGCTTTTTCTTTTAAAAACTCAAGCAAAATAGCTAGAACAAGACATGTTAAGAAAGTTTGCAGAGGAAAAAACTATGAAATCAAGAGGAGGGAACCGTAGAAAGTAAAAAGTTTCCTCTTCACAGTTTCCCTTTTTGTTAAAGAATAAATCATAAGTGTTAGAAATAATAGTTTCTTTTAAAGACTAACTTCCTTCAAGCTTCCTTGATTTGTGCTAATAACTCTTTGTTAAGCCCTATCCTATGTAGCTGTTAAATGTGCTCACAGGCACATAGTACATTCTATGTCCTTGTACTTTAACCAAGATATCTGTGCTGGAGGTGCTCACAGGCATGTCCCAGCTCACAGCCTATGCCCCTTCCTTATTTGGGAATGTTATTACTTTTCTAAGTCCTTTCGTAAGCAACTTCCTCTTTTCCTTTGTTCTCCATTGCTTTTACCTATTTAGAGAAGTTTTAAATTGTCAGCCAATTGGGTTCAGTTTAGATTGTGAGGTCTGGCTCCAGCCAATGGAGACAGGACAGAGTAGCAGGGACAAGCTGCGTAAGGGATAAAAATTGCTTCCCTCCTTTATTCAGGTGTGCTCTTGCCATTTTTCCATCTGCGAGGAGCACCCTTTCTGCAGAAAGTAAAATAACCTTGCTGAGAAAACTTTTTGTCTAAATGCTGATTTTTTTTTCCTTATGGTACCAAGGAACAAGCATTCTGTTTCTGAATAAACATTTTATATATAACATCCTGATATCCCAATATCTTGAGAACAGAAGCATTCCTAATTTTGCTTTAAAGATAGTAATATCGATTCTTGCAAGATATAGTCATTAAGAAAATTAATCCTTTATCACAAACCCTTGTAGCAGAGCACATCTCCCCATGATCTTCTTTATCCTACATAAATGAGTATTATACCTAGGGTGGACATGTTTCTTCTTCTGCCTTCGGGAACGCCCTACCCTGTCTATGGAGTAGCCATCTTTCACCACTCTACCTTCTTTTCTTTTCTTTTTTTTTTTTTTTGAGACAGCATTTCACTCTTGTTGCCCAGGCTGGAATGCAATGGCACAATCTCTGCTCACCACAACCTCCTCCACCTCTCGGGTTCAAGCGATTCTTGTGCCTCAGCCTCTCAAGTAGCTGAGATTACAGGGATGCACCACCACACCTGGCTAATTTTGTATTTTTAATAGAGACAGGGTTCTCCATGTTGGTCAGTCTGGTCTCGAACTCCTGACCTTAGGTGATCCACTCGCCTCGGCCTCCCAAAGTGCTGGGATTACAGGCATGAGCCACCGCGCCCGGCCCCACTTTACTTTCTCAATAAACTTGCTTTTGCTTTGCACTGTGGACTCACCCTGAATTCTTTCTTGCACGAGATCCAATAACCCTCTCTTGGGGTCTAGATCGGGACTCCTTTCCAGTAACATTGTGAGATCCTGATTTTGAGATGCCCAGAAAGTTGCCAGCAATCAGTGGATTACAGAGGTCTGAAGATGTGGGGAGGAGGTGAGCAAAGCCATGAGAAGGAGTGAGATTGTCTAGGGAGAGGAAGGAGAGCACAGTATGGGTGCAGGGGCCAGGCTTGTGTGGACACATCTGGAAAATGCTAGAGCACCCCATTAGCAGGTGACGTTCCCCAACAGAAAATCACGCCCTCCAACCAAGCCTTTGTCAGTCACATACAAAAAAGTTTTAAATCTCTCATCTGCCTTTCTCTGGTTTCACACTTGTTCAGAACCCAGGCAGGGAAGAAGAGAACTATTTTCTGAGGCCCCCTGAAGATCCTGACAACAAAGAGAATAGTTGAAGTGTCAATATCCTTCCTTCCAGAAAGTGTTCTGGCTTCCAGGCAAACTGCCACCACCACCCCAGCAACCTGAGATCAAGGCACTGGAGTCTGCCTAGCAAGCCTGGGTCCCAGCCCCAGCCAAGGGAATATTGAGTGAGCGTGCTGTTGTGTGCGCACCCCAGAAACTTTACGGCTCTGTCACTAAAGGGAGCCACTCCAGTGGTTCTTCCCAAAGAAGTCAGCTTCAAGATGACTCAGTGTCCCCATGCCAGAAATAGAAATGGCTGGCAACTTTCACATGTCAGTTTCTTCTGCTAACAACAATTCCACACCCTGTTACATGCCCATTGAATTTAACAACGGGAGGTCCTTAGCGATTTTGGACACAGCAGATGGATTTTCAGTCCAAAGCATTCAGGAAGCACTGAAATCCGTGACCCCATCCCCACCTCCGTTGTGGGGCTTTGTAATGCATATCAGCATATTGAAGACCGTGGAAAGCAGTCTCCAACATTTTGTTTAATTCAAACTTTTTGATCCATAATCCTCCCTCCTTTCCAGGCAGAAAACTTTCAAATATTCCATAAAACATCAGAAATTCAAGGGACCATGAGGCCAGGTGCAGTGGCTCATGCCTATAATCCCAGCACTTTGGGAGGCCAAGGTGGGCAGATCACCTGAGGTCAGGAGTTTGAGACAAGCCTGGCCAACATGGCGAAACCCCATCTCTATTAAAAACATAAAAATTAGCTAGGTGTGGTGGTAGATGCCTGTAATCCCAGCTACTCAGGAGGTTGAGGCAGGAGAATCACTTGAATCCGGGAGCTGGGGGTTGCAGTGAGCCAAAATTGTGCAACTGCACTCCAGCCTGGGTGACAGAGAGAGACTCCCTCTTAAAAAAAAAAAAAAGAAAGAAAGAAATTCAAGAGACCAAGTATATATTGAAGAAGTTTGGATGAAAAGATAATTAATTAGAAAAAGTGGTCATAAAGGGAAAATATGAACCAAGAGAGGCCTTGTTATTTAGTGATTATTTTTAGATTGGTATAAACTTCCATATGTTCTTAGGCCAAGGGAAGCAGGAAAGATGGCGCATATGAGAAACAGAATAATTCATGGAGCCAGGCCCTTTGGGGATTTATAATCAAGTAGCTTTTACTTGGTAAATACTTCTTATATGAATAACAAATGAAAGGAAGTGAAACCCAAAATTTGTAAGTTTCAAATGCAAAGTAGATGAATAATCATTCTTTTGAGATATTTCCAAAGTTAGCATAACAATTCCAAGTCATTGAGTAAATATTCACATCAATATTTAAGATTTAAGGCAATTGTTTGGAATATTTTGGGAGTTATGAATAAAACTCTGAATCCTCTCTGCAAAAGGTTTCTTTCTTTTTTTTGAGATGGAGTCTTGCTCTGTCACCCAGGCTGAAGTGCAGTGGCACAATCTCAGCTCACCGCAACCTCCGCCTCCCGGTTCTCCTGCCTCAGCCTCCCCAGCAGCTGGGATTACAGGCACATGCCACCACGCCCCACTAATTTTTTGTATTTTTAGTAGAGACGGGGTTTCACCGTGTTAGCCAGGATGGTCTCGATCTCCTGACCTCGTGACCCGCCTGCCTCAGCCTCCCAAAGTGCTAGGATTACAGGCATGAGCCCCCGCGCCCGGCCTCTGTAAAAGGTTTCTACGATGAGTTTCAGGGAATTCAATCCTAGTTTTCAAATTTGTCACCAAAGCTGTGGTTGGTCCAGGGGGTCAGGAAGCGGCACCTGCCACCCAGAGGTGAGTAAAATGCAGAAAACCACTGCCAGTAGTCCCAGATGCCTACAAGCCCTGGGCTAATAACAGTTAAGGAAACATGAAAGGGGCTGCAGATTCATCTGTTGGAAGCCCACACACCTGTTGCAGCCTCAGCTTTTCAAACCTGGCACAGACACATCTTCTCAGCTGTATCCTAAAGCCTGTTGGCAAAGGCATTTCAGAAATATAGTCCCTAGGCTTCTAAGGCCTAAGATACAGAGAAGAGCATAAAAGGTGCTAGGAACAAGGCCGGGCATGGTGGCTCACGCCTGTAATCCCAGCACTTTGGAAGGCCAAGGCGGGTGGATCACCTGAGGTCGGGAATTCGAGACCAGCCTGACCAACATGGAGAAACCCAGTCTCTACTAAAAATACAAAATTAGCCAGGCATGGTGGTGCATGCCTGTAATCCCAGCTACTCAGGAGGCTGAGGCAGGAGAATTGCTTGAACCCAGGAGGTAGAGGTTGCGGTGAGCTGAGATTGCGCCATTGCACTCCAGCCTGGGCAACAAGAGTGAAACTCCATCTCAAAAAAAAAAAAAAAATGGTGCTAGGAACAGTGCTGACGATATCTGGCCCACCCTCTTTGCCCCTCTCCCTTCTCCATGTCCACTCCTCTTAGCAGTGCACCTTATAACAGAAGACCAGATAGAAGGCTAAAAACCAGCACAAGAGAAGTCTGGACCCTGGAAATGGGCGGGTGAGATCGAAGCACAGAAGGGCTATGGAAGTCTGGGGAAAAACAGGAGGTCCTAAGGGGTAGAAGTTTTCCTCCCTACTATAAAAGGATAAGCTATGTTGGGGCTTATCCTTAGATACTTAGAAGATGATACTTAGAAGTATCATCTAAGGTCAGTGGAGAAACTGGCGCAGAGAGCTAGGAGCATAGAGAAGCCATAGCCGCCGCTTTCCTATGTACTCTGCAATGGGCTGGAATGCTTTTCTACAGCCTGAAGGTAAGAGATCTACAAGGTTGGTGCACTAGCAATTGTGGTCCTCCAGACTTTGGATGTGCTCACATTAGGAAGCTTTTGGCAAGGACTTCACGGATAGCATTGCAAGCTGAGGATCTGTATAAAATGATCAGATCCAGGATTCCACTAGTTGGTAAAAAGTCTTTGTGTGCGTTTGAGAAAGGAGTTACTTCCTTGGGAAGACGCAGCTTCACACCAAAGTGCATGACTTGGCATGCTTCAGCCTGCATTCATCCCCTTGGGGATGCAGTGAACAGCCTGCACAACTGTACACAGCCGCCCCAGTCAAATCCTAGCAAAAGACTAATCTACAGTAAATTTATGTTAGCAAACTTAGATACAAGAATTTTGACTCACCATTGAGTCATTGTAAAAGTAGTGTTGGTTTTAGTTATCATTAAAAAGACTCAACAATTTAGAAATAATGTTGAGAAGGATAAAAAAAAATTAACATGCTGCTCTAAAGATAGAAAGAATCTAATTCTATTGGAGAGCTGTAACTCTTAGAATAAATGAAAAGGAAACGTGAATTGAGCAAACCAGTGTTGATAAACACAAGAAAGGGACGTCATAAAATGACATCGCCCCAAATCCAGCAGAGTCAATATCATCAAACTATAATTAGCACAAGTCTCCAAGGAGCATGAATCATATTGAGAAATAGGTTTTTGATCTTGAAAAGTAATATGAGAACTAGAGATGAAAACTAAGCTGTAGATGGCACACTGCAAAAAATTGAGGCTACCGAGGGAATGGAATGAGACAGGCTGCCGCTCACCTGCCTGCCCTGTCTCCAAAAGCACAGGCAAAAGAAGCAAATGAGGCGTTAAGCAGCATTAAGGAGACAAGACGGAAAGGAGGAAAGCATTTTTAAAAAATTAACTGAATATTAGCTGGGCGCAGTGGCTCACGCCTGTAATCCCAGCACTTCGGGAGGCCAAGGCAGGAGGATCACCTGAGGTCAGGAGTTCGAGACCAGCCTGGCCAATATAGTGAAACCTACTAAAAATACCAAAATTAGTCAGGTATGGTGGCGGGCACCTGTAGCTACTCAGGAGGGTGAGGCAGGAGAATCATTTGAACCCTAGAGGCAAAGGTTGTAGTGAGCTAAGATCGTGCCACTGCACTCCAGCCTGGGTGACAGAGTGAGACTGTCTCAAAAAAAAAAAAAAATAAAAGAAGAAAGAAATATTAACTGGATATTGAGATATATGTAGAACAGGTCTACGACAAATTCCCTCCTCAAATTCTCCAGGTTCTGATTCAGATCCAAAAACTACACAGCGGACCATATAAAATACATCTTAGAGCTTACAGATAGTGGCTAACTCTTTAGAAAGAGTCGTCTTAAAGTAGTAACTTTATTTGTTTAACACTTATTTATGAATATTTATAAATGAACACTTATGAATATTTGTAAGTGAACACTTATTTATGAATATTTGTAAGTGAACATTTCTTTATGTTTAACACTTATTATGAATTCTTTATATGAATCATATAAAGAATGCAAGTAAACAACTTAGTACTATTGTTATATTCTTTGAAGTTGCTGGGACTATTGTCCCATCACTTGATTAGAGTCTTCAATTCTCAAACTTGCTTTTCTGTCCCCATTCCTCGGGGTACTCTGGCCCCGGACACCTTCAATGCCCTCTCCTTCCTGATACTTTTCCTCACTTGACTTCGGGGACATTGCTCTCTCCTAGTTTCGCTTTCTCTTATCTGGATGCTCCCTCTTCTCTCCTCTCCAACTTTTTATTTTCTTTCAGCACCCCCCCTTAAATTGGAGGAATTCTCTAGAATTCAGCCATTTTTTTAAATTTAAATTTTAATTTTTTTATTTCCAAAGGTTATTGGGGAGCAGGTGGTGTTTGGTTACAGGGATAAGTTTTTTACTGGTGGTTTGTGAGATTTTGGTGCTCCCATCACCCGAGCAGTGGACACTGCACCCAATTTGTAGCCTTTTATCCCCCACCCCCCTCCCACCCTTTCTCCGTGAGTTCCCAAAGTCCATTGTGTCATTCTTACGCCATTGCATCCTCACTGCTGTGAGTGAGAACATACGATGTTTGGTTTTCCATGCCTGAGTTACTTCACTTAGAATAATAGCCTCCAATCTCATCCAGGTTGCTGCAAATACCATTAATTCATTCCTTTTTATGGCTGAGTAGTATTCCGTTAGATATATATATATATATATATATATATATATATATATATATATATCACCGTTTCTTTCTTTTTTTTTTTTTTTTGTGTCAGAGTCTCATTCTGTCACCAGGCTGGAGTGCGGTGGTGTGATCTCAGCTCACTGCAATCTCCACCACCTAGGTTCAAGCGAGTCCCCTGCCTCAGCCTCCCAAGTAGCTGGGACTACAGGTGCGTGCCACCATGCCTAGCTAATTTATTTTGTATTTTAGGAGAGACAAGGTTTCACCATGTTGGCCAGATTGTCTTGATCTCCTGACCTCGTTATCCACCTGCCTTGGCCTCCCAAAGTGCTAGGATTACAGGTTTGAGCCACCGCACCTGGCCATACCATTTCTTTATCCACTCATTGATTGATGGGCATTTGGGTTGGTTCCACATTTTTGCAATTGCAAATTGTGCTAGAATTCAGCCCTTTTAGAGGAGGTCTCTGAGAAGGACTAAGTCCATATTTCCAAGCTTAATCTCTATCCTGAGGTTCAGGCCCATTTTTCCAAATAGGTGTGGACCTCTTCATTCACCTATCCCACAAGTAATGCAAGTTACTCAGAACTAATCTCCTTCCCCCAGGGCAGCTGCCTGTCCTGGGTTTCTCATCTGCTAGGGTCTAAATGTTTGTGTCCTCCCAAAATCCATAGATTGAAATCCTCACCGGCAGGTGAGGGTATTAGGAGGTGTTATTAGTCAGGGTTCTCTAGAGGGACAGAAGTAAAAGGACAGATGCATATATTGAAGGGAGTTTATTAAGGAGAATTGACTCACACGATCACAGGGTGAAGTCCCATGACAGGCTGTCTGGAAGCTGAGGAGCAAGGAAGCCAGTAGTGGCTCAGTCCAAGTCCCAAAGCCTCAAAAGTAGGGAAGCTGACAGTGCAGCCTTCAGTCTGTGGCCAAAAGCCTGAGAGCCCCCAGCAAACCACTGCAGTAAGTCCTAGAGTCCAAGGGCCGAAGAACTTGGAGTCTGATGTTCAAGGGCAGGAAGCATCCAGCACAGGAGAAAGATGAAGTCTGGAAGACTCAGCAAGTCTGCCCTTCCACCTTCTTCTGCCTGCTTTTTCTAGCCTCACTGGCAACCAACTGGATGGTGCCCACCCAGATTGAGGGTGGGCCTGCCTCTCCCAGTCCACTGAAGCAAATCTTAATATCCTCTGGCAACCCACTCACAGACATACCCAGAAACAATATTTTGCATCCTTCAATCTGATCAAGTTGACACTCAATATTAGCCATCACAGGAGGTGAAGCCTTTTGGGGGGTGATTAGGTCATGAGAGGAGAGCCCTCACAAATGAGATTAGTGCCCTCATGAAAGAGACCCCAGAGAGCTGCATCAACCCTTCCACCACATGAGGACACTGCAAGATGATGTCTATGAACCAGGAGGCAGGCCCTCACCAGACACTGCCAGTGCCTTGATCTTGGACTTCCCAGCCTCCAGAACTGTGAGAAATCAATTTCTATTTATAAGCCACTCTGTTTATGGTATTTTGTTATAACAGCCAGGATGGACAAAAACACCATCTCAGCTAATACTGCTACCCTCCATTCAGTCGCCCAACGCAGAAATGTTCGCCTTCAACAACTCCCTTCATCTCCTCAGGTACATCTCATCATCCTAAAGTTCTCTCCCCTCCATCTGCATAAAAGCTTCCAAGCATAACCCCTTTTAAATAACAGAGTCAAATACATAACCTTTTTTTGTAGCCAAGATGGAAGTTCCCTAAGTGTCTGATTTCAAGCTTACTGAGAAAAGCCCAATCCAAAAAAAAAAAAAAAAAAAAATTCCTCCTTGCTGGCAGATCCTGAAATCCCTTTGGCAGACAAGGTTTTTATTGCAGAATTAGAAATAATCCTAAATGCCAGAGGCTCTGGAAAGATGCCACCTGAAATTGAAAGGACACCAAAGTGTCAATGTTGTGTCATACAGCCTTGCAGTGAAAAGGGCTGATGGTGGGAGGAGAGGGGAGGGTGGCAGATAAGAGCAAAGAAGAAAGAGTGCAGGGTGCAGATAGCTGCAGCAAAGGTGGTGGAGGCGGGCACACTGTGAACATACAAAGAAAGTTCGCTTGAGCCAACCAAGCCAGAATCAACTAAAATATACTTTTGTGCTGAAGGTGAATTAAACAATTCGTGAGTATGGGAACCAAGGTAGACAGGAAATCATTTTATAAAAAGATTCACAGAGACTCTTCTCTTGTTTCTATAATAAACAGAATGGAGCCACTTCCCAGAATTATAATAAGACACAGTGAATGGGAAAGTTCTAAATTTATGTAAGATCAGCTTTTGAAGTCTCTGAAATCGTTGCAATGGGAAATACTGCCTAAGTGCTTCCAAGTTCACTAACAGATCTTCCTCTAGGAGTTTTCACAGCCAACCCTTCAAAACTTGGCCACCTTTGCCATAATAGTCCATGAATATCCAATTGTCTCTGCAAGAAGTCTGTTATGACTGGGATTTCTTTCTGCCTCCCTTGGGTCAGATCAAATTAACTTGGTAAGAATTGCTTTCTGTAAAGCTAACTCACATTGGAGTAACCCCCGTGTGACCTAAGGCATCTTCTCCCCTGGCTCCCAGTAGATTCAGAAAAAGGAATGGATGAGGTCAGGAATAACACAGGGGTGACCAGTTGCAAAATTTAAAGATATAGCAGCTGGAGAAGTGAACCATAGGCCTTAGGAAAGAAAGAAGCAAAATGTTGCTGGCATCCAGCTGTGCAGATCTGATGAGACCAGCCGCCCAGAAATCTGTGTTACTGCTCCAGAAGACAATGCAATGTGCCTACAAATTTAATGACTGTCTCCTGGCCTATAACAGGGGAGCAGGAACTCTGCCCGCAAAGCCGAAAAGGGTCAAGGCAACCTGGTGAGAGAAATGTTGACTTTTCGTGGGTATAAAAGGCACAGACAATCTAGCTAAGGCAGGTGTATTGTGATCTAGTGGAAAGTCATGTATGAACCCCTCACCTTTTTTTTTTTTTTTTTTTTCAAAAACAAAGGAGTTACTGACTTTTCAAACCGCAAAATCATTTATGACAATTTAACCAGCTGTATTAGTCTGTTTTCATGCTGCTGATAAAGATATACCTGATACTGGGTGATTTATAAAGAAAAAGAGGTTTAATGGACTCACAGTTCCACGTGGCTGGGGAGGCCTCACAATCATAGCGGAAGGCGAAAAGCACATCTTACATGGCGGCAGGCAAGAGAGAGAATGAGAACCAAGTGAAAGGGGTTTCCCCTTATAAAACCATCACATCTCGTGAGACTTATTCACTACCATGAGAACAGTATGGAGGAAAACACCCCCATGATTCAATTATCTCCCACCAGGTCCCTCCCACAACACACGGGAATTATGGAAGCTACAATTCAAGATGAGATTTGGGTGGGGACACAGCCAAACCATATCACCAGCCAAGTATTAAGTCAACCTCTACAGAAGGAAGAGGCTTAAATTCAAATTAATTTGGCATCTACTAAAATTGTATACCAAATATAAGAAATGAAAAACAAATTCTAATTTTTTTCAAGCTGGAGAGAAGCTAAGAGGTTATCTATCTTAGCCCCTGACTTCCCTCACTGATGAAGAGGTCAAGGCCTAGGGGTGAGTTCTCAGGTAGGGCCGAGGTAGCCTGATACCCAGGTCTCTGTGTCCTCCCTCACTCCACCATGCACTTTTTCAGAGAAGTGAGACACCTTAGTTTGGAAAAAAAATAAGTGAGATGGAAAAAAGACAAATCACTTGTACTTTCCTACTACTGATCAATTATTTAATCCAAAGAAGCTAAAACTATGTCTAAAATTAGACAGCCAGGCCATTTTTCACTCCTCAGGCATGCAAAGAAGATAATGATAGTATTTTTCAGACAATGACGAGGAACTGTGGTGCATTACAGTGATTATTTTCCCAAATCACCAGCTCTGGCTAATTAATACTTAAACAGAAAATTTTGCTAAAGGAACTCATGACAGTTTTGTAGCAAAACAAGGAAGCAAAGACTTAACATTTCATCGGTGCTGTGCTTTGATTTGGTACAAAAGGCGGCAGGGATTAGACAGGTTCTAATGGGACAGGCATAGGAAGTAATTAATAAGCAGCATTCTTATCTATTATTTACAGAGGGCCAACCATAACCTAAGGGGTAAATACCTGGCTCTTTCCCAGTGAGTTTACTTTTCAAGATGATGATGATGATGATGATGATGATGATGATGATGATGATGATGATGATACTCACCCAGGCTGGAGTGCAATGGCACGATCTCGGCTCACTGCAACCTCCACCTCCCAGGTTCAAGAGATTCTCCTACCTCAGCCTCTAGTAGCTGGGACTATAGGCGTGTGCCACCATGCCCAGCTAATTTTTGTTTTTTTAGTAGAGATGGGGTTTCACCATGTTGACCAGGATGGTCTTGATCTCTTGACCTCATGACCCGCCCACCTCAGCCACCCAAAGTGCTGGGATTACAGGTGTAAGCCACTGTGCCCGGCCTATTTCAAGATTTTTAAACATGAGGCAGGCCCGGCACAGAGAGTTATGTCTGTAATTCCAGCACTTTGGGAGGCCGAGGTGGAAGGATCACTTGAGGTCATGAGTTTAAGACCAGCCTGGGCAACATGGTGAAACCCTATGTCTACAAAAAATACAAAAATTAGCCAGGCATGGTGGTGCATGCCTATAGTCCCAGCTACTTGGCAGGCTGAGGTGGGAGAATTGCTTGAGCCCAGGAGTTCGAGGCTGCAGTGAGCCACGACTATGCCACTGCACTCCAGCCTGGGTGACAGAGCAAGATGCTCTGTCAAACAAACAAAAAACATGGGAGGAAGGAGAGGAAGGAGGAGCTTAGCACAGCACACACACCGTGAACAGGCTTGTCTCAAAGCAGAGCCATGGTCCCTGGGACTCTGGGTACTTGGCTGAGGCTGTAGGTTGGACCCTAATCCCAGAGCCTCATTCTGATGGAGGCTTCAACCATACACCTTGCTTCTCATACAGGGAGTTGCTTTCATGCTGGATTTCAGGGAAAGGAAAGCAACCTATTAGAGGCATAGACACGCACCTGTTTGAGTCTCTGTTTTCAGTTTCTTTGGAGTGTACACCTAGAAGTGGAATTGCTGGGTCATATCATAACTCTCTGTTTAACTTTCCAAGGAACTCATCCTCGGAATATTTGGAACCAGTGATGAACTGAATCAAACTAAAGCTGAGACAAAGTCCAGACCAAGGTCAACCATAGGGCAGATGATTCATGCAGCGACCACACCAGTGGCCTCACAGGAGCAGGGGCACACCCTTTGCTGCAGCAGTCCCCAACATTTTTGACACCAGGAACTGGTTTCATGGAAGACAATTTTTCCATGGATGGTGGTGGGTGGGGGGGTGGTTTTGGGATGAAATGGGTCCACCTCAGATCATCAGGCATTAGAGTCTCATAAGAAGCACGCAACCTAGATCCCTTGCATGTTCTGTTGACAATAGGGTTCACGCTCCTATGAAAATCTAATGCAGCTGCTGATCTGACAAGAGGCGGAGCTTAGGCCATAATGCTCACCCACCCGTTGCTCACCTCCTGCTGTTCGGTCTAGTTCCTGAGAGGCCACAGGCCAGTACTGGTTCACCACCCGGGGTTTGGGGACCCCTGCTTTATTGGACATAATTATTAGGTCGTGTTCTTTTTGGTGGTGTTTGTACAGCTCTATTGAGGTATAATCCACATGCCATAAAATTCACCCCATTTGTAAATGTATGATTCATGGCTTTCAATTACACTTAAAAAGTTGTAAAACCATCATTACAATTCAAATTTAGTATATTTCCATCATCCCCCAAAAATCCCCTCGAGTTCCTTTGCAGTTCAAAGCCACCCCCAATTTCAGGCAACTACTGGTCTGATTTCTGTCTTTTTCTACTTTCCTTTTCTGGACATTTAATGTATATGGAGTCATAGCATATGTAGTCTTTGGCATCTGGGGTAGCAAGTACGAATATTAGTCTACCACCTCAGATGCACATAAAAATATTACATATCTTTTCTTTTCTTTTCCTTCCTTCCTTCCTTCCCTCCTTCCTTTCTCTCTCTACTTCCTTCCTTCCCTCCTTCTTACCTTTCTTCCTTCTCTCTCTCTCTCTCTTTCTTTTTGGACAGAGTCTCACTCCATGGCCCAGGCTGGAGTGCAGTGGCACCATCTTGGCTCAGCGCAACCTTTGACTCCCAGGCTCAAGCAATTCTCCTGCCTCAGCCTCTCAAGTAGCTGAGATTACAGGCACGCACCACTACTGCCTGGCTAATTTTTATATTTTTAGTAGAGATAGGGTTTCACCATGTTAGCCAGGCTGGTCTTGAACTCCTGACCTCAAACGATCCTCCCAAAGTGCTGGGATTACAGGCGTGAGCCACCGCCCTGGGCCTCTTTACTTTCTTTAAACCCAGTTCTGCAGGGGTGTACGGAAACCTATTTTCGGGCACCACTGGGGTCTGGAGAGGGGAGGTCTCCTTCCCTACGGCCATGCAAAACTCCAGGAGGGCTTTTGGTACCCATTGAAGTAAGGGCCATTTATTTTTCAGCCCAGCAACATTGCCACTGATACCCTCATTATCAAATGGTTCTTCTAGGGAACAGTCTCTGCTGTTTCCAATGACAAGCCTGGGCAGCAGAATCTGCGGGAGGTTCCCAAAGTCCAGTAGGTGCATCCCAAGAGCTTGCTGTCTGTCTGGGTGCTGCAGGGACTGAGGCTTGAGTCCTTGATGCTCATAAGACCACCATCCCACTCCTCCTCCCAATCTGGGGGCGGGGGAGTCACTCCTCCCTCCAACTGTTGTGAAAGCCTCCACCCCACCCAGCTCTGGCTCTTCCTCCAGGACATCTGGGGTAGATCATGGATGTATTGAGATCAGGCTTTCTCAAAAGACAAGAAGAAAGGCTGTACTTCTAAGAGCTGTTGCCAGGAGTCCAGCCAACGCTCCTGAAGGTAGGAAGCCCAAAGGGACTCGTTGCTAACTCCAAACAGAGGAGATTGGGGTGGAAAGGGAACACAAGGAACATCAAACCCAGATTAGGATCTCACTAAAAACCTTCCCACACTGCTCTACATTTACCCACCACAAAACCACATCAACAAATCAGCTAAGAGCATGCTATTATTTCAGTTTTTTCGCTGCATTTAGATTCCATCTACCCATGGAAGTGTGCAGGAAGATGGAGTCACCAAACGGGATGATCCAGGCTAAGAAACAGAACCGGCTCTAACACAAGCAACAGCAACAAACACCATGAGCCAGGCGTTCTTCTAGGTGTTGAAGACGTATTTCCTCTTTAATCTTCTCAGCATCCTTAGGTGAGGGCTGTGGGTCCAGAGGCCTTATCTAAAATTTTTGGGTGGCTGGGCACCGTGGCTCACACATGTAATCCCAGCACTTTGGAAGGCCGAGGCAGGTGGATCACCCGAGGTCAGGAGTTCAATACCAGGCTGGTCAACATGGCGAAACCTCATCAATACGAAAAATGCAAAAATTAGCTTGGTGTGGTGGCACACGCCTGTAATCCCAGCCACTTGGGAGGCTGAGGCAGGAGAATCACTCAAACCCAGGAGGTGGAGATTGCAGTGAGCTGAGATTATGCCACTGCACTCCAGCCTGGGCAACAGAGTGAGACTCCACCTCAAAAAATAAAATAAAACCTTTGGGGCAAGCTCTGCTTTAGAGTCCAGAATTCTGGGGATTTTCAAAAGGCTATTCAATAAATGGGATTTATATCACATAACACCCTGACACTGTCTGACGCAGTTCTCCTATCAACTATTCGATTTTCCTTCACAAAACAAATTTAAAAATCACATCAAGGGATCTAAATAAAGACTGTAAATAGCTTTCCATCAGTTGGGTCTGGTCAGAAAAGAGGTTTGGTCCTTAGAACTTTCTGGATTTGGGAGTGTACTATACTCCCCATTTTACAGATAAAGGGAATGAGGAAGGGTAAGATGAAGTAACTTGGTCAAGGTCCTACAGCTAAGAAGTGGTTGTCGGGGGAGTGTGTGTGCATGTGTGTGTGCAGTGCTTCAGGGCACCCCCCACCCCGACCCCACCACTGAGAGCAAGGAATCAGGAGAAAACAACTTTGACTGCTTTCTGTACCAGAAACTCACCTCGAGCCTCCCACACCAAAGCCATGGGCAGCTTGTGGGTGACCTTCTTCTCTTGGCTCTGAGTTTCACTGATGCTCATTTTAATTCACTTTCATAGTGTTGTTTTGTTCTCGTTTTTGTTTTTGCTTGAGACAAAGTCTCCCTCTCACCCAAGCTGGAGTGCAGTGCTGCAATCACAGCTCATTGCAGCCTCTCCCTCCTGGGCTCAAGCGATCCTCCTGCCTTGACCTCCCAAAGTGCTGGGATTACAGGTGTGAGCCACCGTGCCCCACCTATAGGGTTTTAAACAGTAAAAGGAGCCTAGTGAAGTACGACTTACCGCAGGCACCCCTTACAGGCCCCGGGGGGACCCTTTTCTGCCGATCCCAGGGTACAGCTGTGACACCGTCTTTTCTGCCTGGATTATCCCAGTAGATAAACAAAAATTAGAGATCGTCATTCCATTTCTCTCTGTATATATTTTTCCAAGCCCTTTTCATGAATGATCAGTTATTTCCTGCACTGATTTTTTTTTTTTTTTTTTTTTTTTGAGACGGAGTCTCACTCTGTCACCCAGGCTGGAGTGCAGTGGCATGATCTCGGCTCGCTGCAAGCTCTGCCTCCCGGGTTCAAGCGATTCTTCTGCCTTAGCCTCCCGAGTAGCTGGGACTACAGGAGAGTACCATCATGCCCGGCTAATTTTTGTATTTTTAGTAGAGACAGGCTTTCACCATATTGGCCAGGCTGGTCTCGAACTCCGGACCTTGCGATCTGCCTGCCTTGGCCTCCCAAAGTGCTGGGATTACAGGCGTGAGCCACCGCGCCTGGCCCTCCTGCACTGATATAAAAAGAATTTTTTTAAATTCTCTATTTCTCCCCACTCCCACCCCCAGGCTCACTCCTTATAAAGCAGCCTCTAGCCTCATCTGCCCCTCCTACACCACACCAACTCGAGGGCCCGGAATTGGGTCTGGGGCAGTCGCTGACTTGCTTGCTTCTCTGCCCTGCTCTTGGGGTTAGCCTCAGGGGCAGGGTTGAGAGTCAGGCTTGGCCAGGCAGCAGGAGGTCCAGACAGCGAAGCAGAATCCTTCGGAGATACCAGGAGAGGGCGCATCTGCCTTTTTCCTGTTTCAGATTAGGTTTTGTTGTTGTTGTTTTGTTTTTTTTCTCTCCCTCTCTCCCTCCCTCCCTCTCTCCCTCCCTCTCTCCCTCTCTCCGTCCCTCCCTCTCTCTCTCTCTCCCCCTCCCTCCTTCCCTCCCTCCCATCCCTGCAGCGCTACCCGGGTACTCTGGATGCACATAGGGCGGCTCTCGCTCCTACCTTGTCATCCTGCTGTCTAATCCGGGGGCAGCTTCCCTCCTCCACACCAGCAGAGGCTATTCTTCAGCAACAAGAATAGCCGAGCCTATTCGTCCGCAACAAGAGCCCAAGAAGCATCCTGCAGGCTTTCTGCTTTTTGAGTGTATTTTAAAGCAAAAACGAGTGGAAAGCTATGTATGCTCAGTTAACTATGTCTAGATGTTAACCTTTTTTCAAAAAACACAGATGGAGGCCTCCCTCCGAGGATGCCTGGCATTCTCCTCTTTCTGTGGGCGGCAGCGACCCCCTGCGGCTCCAGCCTCCACTACGGGATCTGCGGGAAGACACGGGGAAGACGAACTCCGCACACTGCATTTGATTAATGATTTATTTTGATTAACGCCGTCACAGTGACGCCTTAGAGCAGTCCCTGTTCACCCGGGTCCCAGCCTCGACCCCGCACGGACAGCGAGGGTGGGTAGCTGGGGGCGGACGCAGGAAAGAGGAGGGGCGGGGCCTTGGTCGGGTGGGGTATGGAATGGGCAGGGTGGGGGGGATGGGCGGGGTATGGGATGGGCGGGGCCCGGGAAATTCCCCGGCGCGGGCAGGGAGCGGCTGGCTGTCAGCTGAGCCGCGCTGGGCGGGGTCGCCAGGCCGCGCATCAGCCCTAGGCACCCCAGTCCCGGCTGCCCCCTCCGCCACCGCCGCCGCCCGCCGGCAGGTTCCCTGGTCAGCGTCCCATCCCGGTCGGGAGTTCTCTCCAGGCGGCACGATGCCGAGGAAACAGTGACCCTGAGCGAAGCCAAGCCGGGCGGCAGGTGAGCCAGGGCAGGGGGCTGCAGCGGTGGGCGAGGGGGCGGCGGCTCCTTCCCGGCGGGCGCTTCCGCGGCCTGAAAACGGTACCCGCCGCCCTGCCCCGCGGCCCGGAGCCTGTCGGGGTGAGGGTGGCGAGGGGTGGGGCGGCCCTCCCGCGAGACGGCTGCCCTGGGAGGATCCCCAAGCCTCGGCGGGTCCTGACCTGGTGGGAGAGGGTGGGTAGTGAACACAGGGTGGGCCCAAGAAGGGTCCAGGGCCGGCCTCTTGGCCGCAGGTAACCCCTCTACAAGTCACCCAGAGACTTGGAGGTGACGTCCTCCCGCAGGCTGGGAAGGATTCCGCAGCCAGTTCCTCGCCATAAGGAGGTGGTTACAGACACGCCTGTGGGAGACATGGGACCACTACCCGAGCTGAATGAGGTGCCCAGGGTCGGTGGGAATCCACATAGACTGCTGTGTCTAGGAGAGTGTGTACACTCTATATAGAGAGAATATTTGATGAGGCCGAGAACCCCAAAGGAATTGTTTTTGCCATCGAAATGCATAAGCTACAGGAAGTAAACATCGCTCAAAGAAAATGAAACCCAGGTTCCGACCTGGCCTCCACCAGCAGGAAAACTGTTGTATGGAAATGTACACCAAGGAACTGTTTGTAAGGATGAAATGGAAAATGAAAGCATAGAAAAGTAAGGCAATGTGAGGACCTCAGAAGCCTTTGGATCTGGTTAGCAAGGTGCAGGCTGTGTGAACAGAAGAACCCACCTTGCTCTTTTGACCCAGGGAGAGAAGAGTTAGTGGTGCCAGGCTGCCTCCCAGGACAGGCCCAGTTTTGGGGCGGGGGCTGGAGAAGTCCCAGGGCAGACCCCAAGGCCAGGGATTGCCCTGGAGTGGACAAGGCAAGTTTAAATGTGACCTGTAGACAGAGGACGATCATTGATTTAAGTCCTGGCATAATTCATCTGTTTTTCCACTGGGCCAATTTTAGGCGTTCTTTATATATTACGTACAACACAATAAAAGTAACAGCTTCTTTTTTTATAAACTAACCTTTAGGTTGCATATTATGCTAGGAATATAACTAACCTAACCTCCACCCCCCCACCCCCCCACCCACCCCCGGAAAACCAAACTTTATTCTCGAGGGCAACTGGACACTGTATTATGTCCTGCCGAACCCCCGCCCTTACTTAGGTAGAGGCGCATAAGTATTCTGGCCATGAAATACACCTTCTGTTTTATAGAGATTTGGCATATTTGATATATGTTCTTTGGAATTTATGAAATAGAAAACCCAAAGGAAAAAGAAAAAAATTAAACTTTTTTTTAAAAAAATATTTCATTTAGAAAGAAAAAATTAAAAGTTTTTGTTATTTCCACTTTGACATGTGTATGAGGAGCATTAGAATCTGTGTTATGAAGTGATACCCAGATGGCTTTGCAGTGACAGAAAACACTTCTAATTTTTCAAATAAGTTAGAAAGGAGGATTTTGAGAATCTGGAAGTGAATGCCGTGGAACTGTGGAGAAACTCCTAACAATACTGGCATGCTGAGTTTGTCACCTACACAGCAGAAAGCATTTTACAGGTATTAGACTTAAAAATACCTCATTATGCTATATTTTCATTTCATTTCAACCAACATTTACTGCAAGCCTGCTATGTGCCAGTCTCTAGTAAGAATAACATGGAGAGAAAATAGACGGGCAGACGATAGCAGTAATTTCAGAATGGGCGGAGGAGGTGGAAATGCAGAGTGTTCTTGGGTGCTCGGAGTAGGGAACAGTTCATATGACACAGGACATCATATTTAAGCTGGACATTGATCTGTCCAGTGGAAGTTTGCCAGGACACAAGGGGAGCCAGACATTTCGGGCAGAGGGCAGAAGGGAGGCAAGGACGCAGAGACAGAAGAATGCAGGGAACCGTGAGCTCTTTAACGTGCCTTGGGTACGAGTGTTTTGGTGGCAGGAGGTGACTCTGGTGGGTCAGTTGGGCCTGGGCCCTGAAAGGCCACGTTTGTCTTGTTAAGAAACTGAAAGTCTGTCGTGTATGGGAAGGGTGGACTCAGGGGAATGACCTCATATTGCAAAAGAAACCATGAGGGCAAGAGGACTGAAATTGACAGGGCTGAAAGCCAGTCATTTAGGAGGCTGTTAAAATGTATTCAACAGATATTTACCGAGTCCTGCCTTCTATGTGGCAAGTAATGTTCTCAGTCCTGGGGATACAGCAGTGGACAAAATAGGCAGAACCCCTGTCCTTTGTGGAGGTCAACATGGCTGTGGTACAGACAAGATAAGGGCCTGAACTAAGCCTGTGGGGATGGAGAGGAGGCAGTGGATTTTAGAAACACTTAGAAGGGCCAGGCATGGTGGCTCATGCCTGTAATCCCAGCACTTAGGGAGGCCGAGGTGGGTGGATCACTTGAGATCAGGAGTTCAAGACCAGCCTGGCCAACGTGGCAAAACCCTGTCTCTACTAAAAATACAAAAATTAGCTGGGAATGGTGGCATGCACCTGTAATCCCAGCTACTTGGGAGGCTGAGGTGGGAGAATTGCTTGAACCTGGGAGGCGGAGGTTGCAGTGAGCTGAGATTTTGCCACGGCACTCTAGCCTGGGCGACAGAGTGAGACTGAGTCTTAATTTAAAAAAAAAAAGAAAAAATAAATATTTAGGAGGTAGAGGTGATGGCATTTGGTGACCCATTAGACTTGGGGAAAAGGGGGCTGGGAAGAATCAAGCCTTACTCCCAGGTTCCTGCCTTGGGGAGCTAGGTTAAAGCTGCTGCCATTTTCTGTATATTACTAAAATACGAAGTCACAATATCCCTTCTAGTGTGTAATGACGAGGCTGCTTTTACCCCATTAGTAGGATGCATACTCTAAGTTCTTTTTCCAAGGTGGGAAGGGTTTAGTCAATGCAATGTTAGAATCTTACCCCCCTTGTGAACCCAAACTCTTCATAGCATTTGCCAGTAGCCAACTCTTGTCTCTGGTCAAAAAGCAAGTTTTCACTGTTTAAAACTCATTTATCCCATGTAGGGATTGAACCTACGAATACTTCATTAGCAAATTTGAAGACTTGGCCATACCAGGGCAAGGGCCTAACCTTATACTATGTGCAGTGTCCACTGGGGGGAAGTCAGTGTAAGGCAGGTACCATTTGACACATTATGACTTTCTGACCACTAGAGCCATCCCACAGTGGAACAGACAGTGCCTGCTAAGGTCACTGCACTCGTGCTCTGTCATTGAAATACTCAAGCCTGCTCTATAGGATCATGTGCCATCGAAACCAGACAAGACATTCTTGCATTGAATATATTGGTCTGGATCATTTCTAAGGCCAACTCAGCAATCAGATGTATGCTCGTGTTTACAAGGTCAGGTCATTACTAGAATTACTTGATCTCTGGAATTTAAATGTATATACACACACATGCACACACACACACACACACACACACAATCAGGAATTGAGATAGCAGATCTGGGAATAAAATCTAGGGGACTTGCTTTTGGCCATCCATCTACTAGGCAGTCCTCAGTCTTCCTCATTGGTGGAATCTTGACAAATCCTGTGCTCAATTAATTCATCCTTCCATCATTAAATATCACTTTTGCCTAGAAATAACATACTTCACATCTAGGTCAGTTGATTATGGGAAACTCTGTTATTTGATAGAATCTTAGAATAAATGGCTTAGTTCCAATTTCTGTAACCTTCGAAGACATGTGCAAGGATATGTAATGTATCTCTGTCTTTCCTCAGTTGAATGTAGCTCAAGGTGATGTTAAAAACAGAGAATGAAGCTTTCTGTAACTGGCATTCCACCGACAGATATTTCATATGTGCACTGCACAGTGATAGCTCATAGTGATGTCCTAAGATAACCTAAGAATTATGAAGTGCCCTTTGAGTCATCCAAAATCAGTTAAATTAGTTTTTTTTTCTTTTTTTTTTTTTTTTTTTTTGTGAGACAGGGTCTCACTCTGTCACCCAGGCTGGAGTGCAGTAGCATGATCTTAGCTCACTGCAACCTCTGCCTCCCAGGTTCAAGCGATTCTCATGCCTCAGCTCCCGAGTAGCTGGGACTACAGGCATGCACCACTACACCCAGCTACTTTTTTTTTTTTTTTTTTTTACTATTACAAAATTTATTTAACAAAAAGTCTAATATGAAAATGTACATGACCTAACTTTTACATCATAGTAAAACAGGCCCTATGGAGAGAGGACATGGGTTTCTCTGCTGAACAGCCATTTTTTATACTCATTCCAAGGCTTCTAACATGAGGATACTGTTTCCTCGTATTACCACCATTCCAGTATTGTTCTGTTGCCCACTAGTCGCCATCTCCACACATTCATCTATCACAAGATTCATAAAGGGATCAAGTCCCTGCAATATTCCTTGGACGTGTCTGCCACCATTTAATTTCAATGATAACTTCTTGTCCATAAATCCCTTCTAGCCATCTGGTTAGAACATGATGCTATTCGAGATGTTCAACAAAAGGTGGCATTCGAGATCTTCAAGGAACGAAGAAGGGACAGCATGGGGGTGACCAGGGGCCCGACCGCAGGACCGGGAGGCGAGTCGGCCAGAAAGAGGTGCAGTGGCTGCTGGTGGTAACTACGCCGACGTGCGAGCTCTGCTACTAATTTATGTATTTTTAGTAGAGATGGGATTTCACCATGTTGGCTGGGCTGATCTCAAACTCCTGGCCTCAAATGATCTGCCCACCTTGGCTTCCCAAAGTGCTGGGATTACAGGCATAAGCCACTGCACCCGGCATCAATTAAATTACTTTTAGTAAAATTTTGGTATTAAGTATTTACATGCTTATATTTACCGTTTATGCTAACTTCTTATGTTTGATGACATTTGAATTACAAAATATTTTTTCTAACAATACACAATATCACAGAATTTGCTGTCATTAGGACAGTTATAGCTATTCATGAGAGTGACTGGCCTGCCCGTGATACTTGGTGTATATGCATTGAAGGGTGGGGTTTAGATTGTGGTCTTTCTAGAAACTAAAGAATATTTTTCACAGAGTTCATAAGGATTATCATTTGCTGGATGAGTCAATAAATACCACTAGAGGTCATGTGACTTCCCAAGGCCACACATCTGGCTAATGGTACAAATGTTTTTTTCTGTGGCCTCCCTTAGCACGACCCCACTTTTTTCCTCGTATGCTTATAAAATCCGGGCAATGTGAGAAGTCAGAAACACTGATGTAACAACTAGAACCAGTTTTAACTTTATTATGGTGGTATCTGTAGGCTTGGTGGAGGCATAAAAGGTCATGGAGGGGCCCGGCACCGTGGCTCAAGCCTGTAATTCCAGCACTTTGGGAGGCTGAGATGGGTGGATCACCTGAGGTCACGAGTTCAAGACCAGACTGGCCAACTTGGCAAAACCCTGTCTCTACTAAAAATACAAAAATTAGCCGGGTGTGGTAGCACATGCCTGTGATCCCAGCTACTTGGGAGGTTGAGGCAGGAGAATCACTTGAATCTGAAAGGCAGAGGTTGCAGTGAACTGAGATTGTGCCACTGTACTCCAGCCTGGGCGACAAAGTGAGACTCTGTCTGAAAAAAAAAAAAAAGTTCATTGAGGAAAAAAATCTTAACAGTTTTCAAAGAAACGTCTCTCTCTTTTCTTCCCTCTCTTCTCCCCTCCCCTTCCTTTCATTTTCAGAAAAAAAGGAGAAATTTGTGCATATAATAAGATGAAACCAAACACACTTCTAAAAATCTGCTTAGATCCTTTCTTTAAAAAAATCTGTTGAATATTTTCATGGCCTTTGCAAAATATAGTATAATCACTGAATACCTAAGAAAAATTAACTGTTGGCAAGTAAATGATACAGATGACAAGGATTTTCTCTTTTAGGTCTATTACCTAGAATTTTAGTATTCCTCTGCAAATTAGGTAGGAACACTGTTACTCAGTAAAACCCTATTTTAATGAGATGATTCTGGGTACAAAAAAATGAATTTTACAGAAAATTAGAAACTGATGGTCTATTCAGATTATTTTTGTGAGAAGAAGAGCAGTCTGTTCTAGTCACCTAATGCTAAGCTATGGAACACTTCTGCATTATACCTGTTTTCTAAGTGAATTTGGGTGTGTGACACATAGATACAAAAAGTTCAAAAATGAATCCTATGGTTTATCAGTGTTTTCTGCTTCGTAAGATTGCCATCACCCTCATTACATGACTACATGAGAATGCCCCTCTTGGTACTAGCTCTTGTAGGAAGAAGTGGCACAGGCTGTACTGTCACAGGGTGTGGTAGGTAGCTCTGTCTCTGATTACCTACAAGTTCCTCACACCAAAAGGAGGTTACCAGGTATTGCTTCCAGAAGATCTACAGAAAGCCCAAGGTATTGCCTCCTGTGGCCAAGGACGCAACACCACAGTGGTGCATTTTGTTTTATTTTAATTGATGGCTATTAAATGCACACATAGATATCATGACACAGTTACATGTCAGAAACAGGCAGTGCTCTTATCTCTATCTTCCAGGGACTGATATCATGTGTAATGGATTCTTCACAACTCAGGGTTCACACAGGCTCCATAGTCATGAGTGGCTGATGGATCTCATTGAGACCAGTGCCTTTCCCCCGTTAGAAATGGGATGCTCGCTTCCAAGTTCTCTCCTCACCCCTTTTGTGCATGCGTGGCTTTCTGCCTGATCACAGTTGTATAGTGTACATTGGTGCTTAATACCTATTTATTGGATAGATGGATTTTAAATTATTTTCTAAGGTCCAGGAGCAGTGGCTTATGCCTGTAATCCCAGCACTTTTGGAGGCCGAGGCCAGCAGATCACCTGAAGTCAGGAGTTCGAGACCGGCCTGGCTAACATGATGAAACCCCGTCTCTACTAAAAATACAAAAATTGGCCAGGCATGGTGGCTGACGCCTATAGTCCCAGCTACTTGGGAGGCTGAGTCAGGAGAATCACTTGAACCCAGGAGGTGGAGGTTGCAGTGAGCCGAGATCGCTCCACTGCACTCCAGCCTGGGCAACAGAGAGAGACTCTCAAAAAACCAAAACAGTCTTTTTTTTTTTTTTTTTTTGAGACTCTGTCGCCCATGCTGGAGTGCAGTGGCACGATCTCGGCTCACTGCAAGCTCTGCCTCCTGGGTTCACGCCATTCTCCTGCCGCAGCCTCCGGAGTAGCTGGGACTACAGGCACCTGCCACCATGCTTGGCTAATTTTTTGTATTTTTTTTATTAGAGACAGGGTTTCACCGTGTTAGCCAGGATGGTCTCGATCTCCTGACCTCGTAATCTGCCCGCCTCAGCCTCCCAAAGTGCTGGGATTAGAGGCGTGAGCCACCGCGCCCGGCTCAAAAACAATCTTCTAACAGTAAACATCCTGGAAGTAAATAATATGCTTTTTCAGGCATGTCTCTGGACTTTGGCCATTCTTGACCTTTGTAGAATGCGTGTGTGGGCCATGTGTACACAGCGTCAGCGGGGAGGAGTTGCCTTTGCTATGTATTGCTTTATAATCTATCCCCATCAGCTCTTGAAGAAAATACATCATTTTCACCAAGTGTGAAGGTGGAAATTTGTGCTGAAACATGTTTGCCTGGGTGGTTGGTAACACAGAAGCAGAGTGGGGATTTACTCATTGGTCTTGCATTTCTATGTCCACATGGATGCCTCTACAAAACAAAATGATATGTGTAAAAAAATTTCAGACCATGCAATACCTAAAGATATCTTAGTCTTTTCAGTATGCATTGAAAAATAGACTATTAAAGCCTAAGTACTCAGTAATATAACTTTGTTGTTTTACAAGGTGTGGCTTTGATAGCTGGTGGTGCCACTTCCTGGCCTTGGATGAGCCGTACGCCTCTGTAAACCCAACTTCCTCACCTTTGAAACAGCTGCCTGGTTCAGCATTAATGAAGATTAGTCAGTGACAGGCCTGGTGTGCTGAGTCCGCACATAGTAAGCATTCAAAGAATGTTAATTCTCCCTTTCTTCTTAACCAAAAACACAATAAACTAAATATAGGTTTTAAAACAGCTTTTTTGAGATAGAATTCACTTACCATGCAATTTACTTGAAATAAGGAGATTTGAATTTGAAGATTTGCATGGGAAATTTTTTTCATGATACCTTGCCCATGTCTACATATATCCTGATCATCATGATGTCATACCCTCGTCTCCCTCCCCCATTTCCCAAATCCTTATTGTACCCTTTTTTTTTTTTTTTGGTTTGAGACGGAGTCTCGCTCTGTTGCCCAGGCTGGAGTGCAGTGGCGCGATCTTGGCTCACTGCAAGCTCTGCCTCCCGGGTTCACGCCATTCTCCTGCCTCAGCCTCCCGAGTAGCTGGGACTACAAGCGCCCAACACCAAGCCCGGCTAATTTTTTGTATTTTTAGTAGAGACGGGGTTTCACTGTGTTAGCCAGGATGGTCTCAATCTCCTGACCTCATGATCTGTCCGCCTCGGCCTCCCAAAGTGCTGGGATTACAGGCGTGAGCCACCACGCCCGGCCCTCATTGTACCCTTTTATACACCCATACACACACACGCACACACACACATGCACACATGCGCGTGCACACACACACACACTTTTCTGAAGCTACATATACCTTTTTTGTTTAAAAGGAAGAATCAAAAATGTCCAAAATGTAACTGGAGAGAAAGTGGGCAACTTTTGGAGTAAGTATTAGCAATCGCCAATGGGTTTGTGGGACTCCCGGGGACCCCTTGTGGGGCGGGGGACAGCTCTATTTTCAACAGGTGACTTTTCCACAGGAACTTCTGCAATGTCCCATCAACCTCTCAGCTGCCTCACTGAAAAGGAGGACAGCCCCAGTGAAAGCACAGGAAATGGACCCCCCCACCTGGCCCACCCAAACCTGGACACGTTTACCCCGGAGGAGCTGCTGCAGCAGATGAAAGAGCTCCTGACCGAGAACCACCAGCTGAAAGGTGAGCAGGGCTGGCCCCTGTGTGCCCCATTCATCCTGGGCCTGCAAGAAATGCCATCCCTTTGCACTAAGGCTTGGTGGTGAGCTCCCTTCTCCCCGTTTCCATAGGTGGTAGCTGGTGGGGAAGCACAGGATTTAGCATTTGGCAAGGCTAAATCTGTTCTGATTTTTACTTTTGGAAACAGGTACAAGTAAAAACTGTGTGTATCTCAAGGAAGTAGCATAATGATATTTAGCCCATTCAAAAGGAAAAAGAGGCTGGGCGTGGTGGCTCATGCCTGTCATTCCATCACTTTGGGAGGCCGAGGCAGAAGGATTGCTTGAGTACAGGAGTTCAAGACCAGCCTGGGCAAGATGGCAAGACCTGATCTCTACAAAAAAATTAAAAAAAAAAAAAAAAAGCTGGGCGTGGTGGTGCACGCCTCTGGTCCTAGCTACTGGGGATGCTGAGGTTGGAGGATTGCTTGAGCCTGGGAAGTTGGAGCTGCAGTGAGCCATGATCGTGCCACTGCACTTTAGCCTGGATGACAGAGAGAGACCCTGACTCAAAAAAAAAAAAAAAAAAAGGAAAAAGGAAGAAAGGCTGCTATGGTTCCAGAGTTAGTCCTATATATTACCTTATTAAGAGAAAGCATCCTGGTATCTCAAGATGGCTTTGGGCAGGACCAGTATTTGAATCTAGGAGTAGTAAGAACTTCCTTAGCTCCTAGTAACCATAGATATTTAGATATTTGTGCTGTAGTGGCGGTACCCAAATCCACTTTATTTTCTTGGGATTTTTAAGGACTAGAAATGATGTTCATCCCGCTAGTCTTTTCTGTAAGCAAAAACCACTTCGTCTTTTTGCTGCTGACCCTTGGGCCAAGGCTAAGCATGGCATCTTTCAATTCAGAGCCATGTGGTCAAGTGGACTAGAGGGAGATTTGGTTCATCAGATCAAGTCCACTTTCCTGGTGTGTGACTCCATCACTCTGAACCTCCTGCAGAAGCCATGAAGCTAAATAATCAAGCCATGAAAGGGAGATTTGAGGAGCTTTCGGCCTGGACAGAGAAACAGAAGGAAGAACGCCAGTTTTTTGAGATACAGAGCAAAGAAGCAAAAGAGCGTCTAATGGCCTTGAGTCATGAGAATGAGAAATTGAAGGAAGAGCTTGGAAAACTAAAAGGGAAATCAGAAAGGTCATCTGAGGTGAGCAGACCGATCCATTGTGATGTTGTTTTTTTTTTTTCCCTTGACATTTGCAGTGGAATCTTACGTGTCTAGACTCCTAGATCAAAACCTTTCATGGTTCAGTCTGGATTGGTGTTTTGCCTGGTCTTGGAAGAAGTGCTTTTGCTGAAAAGATTGGTTGCCCTATTAAGGGTCATGGATAATCTCTTTTAGAAGAAAGAAATTTGTAAAGCTTTGACCGTACTGATTGTAGGCAAAAGAACAGTAAGGTTATAAATCATTGTATTGTATTCATTATAGATGGTGCAGATGGGCCTCTGCCTAGAACCAACAATTGTTTTTAGTTTGTCTTTGATATAAAAAATATGTTTAAAAAACCCATTACTCAGAATTTTTACTTGTTGACCTTGTCTGTTCTCTCAGTCTAAAATGGAGATTATTCACTTTACATTTTCCTTTTTAAAAATGCTTTGGAAAATGTCATGTTGTGGTAGGAGGCTATCGCATTGCCACAGATGAAAAGAGAAAGAGACACATTTTTCTTAACCCAAAGAACCTGGAAAAATGTGCTCATACCTGGGAGTGGATGTCAAAGATGATAGTAATGACACAACCCAGAACAAGTTTGAAATCCCCACTGGGCGTGGTTTGTTAAGGAGTCCTCTGCTGTCCATGCCAAGTGTGGGGAGAATGGGTGTGGGTGGGCTTTGATGGGAGGAAAAGGGCAGGAGGTTGGGTGGTGGGAACGTTTTTTCCTTCCTTTCTGGAATTTTAGACACAGCTTATGAGTCCACTGTTGCCAAAGTGTGGTTGATTATTTCTATGATATCAGATTATTCCAGCATGGCAAGGAAGGCTTTCTTTCTTGTCATGAAGTTACTTTAAATTTTGATTATTTGAATACAATAAAATAATGTAAAAATTTCCATTTTAAATGTTATGTCAAAATAAATCGTGGGCTAGGCACGGTGGCTCACACCTGTAATCCCAGCGCTTTGGGAGGCTAGGGTGGGCAGATCACCTGAGGTGAGGAGTTCGAGACCAGCCTGGCCAACATGGCGAAACCCCATCTCTACTAAAAATACAAAAATTAGCCAGGCATGGTAGTGCGTGCCTGTAGTCCCAGCTACTTGGGAGGCTAAGGCAGGAGAATTGCTTAAACCCGAGAGGTGGAGGATGCAGTAAGCTGAGATCGCGCCATTGCACTCCAATGGGCGACAGAGTGAGACTCTGTCTGGGAAAAAAAAATTGTCAGGTAAAAGCTGAAATTTTCTACATTAAAGCACAAGGCATAAAGGTGTTGAGAAACTTCCTTGTCAGTAGGTGTGGGGGCAATTGAGTCTCATGGCCAGGTCCTTAGTTTGATTTGTATTTGTTTTTTGACTGTTTTTTTTTTTTTTTTTTTTTGAGATGGAGTCTTGCTCTGTTGCCCAGGCTGGAGTACAGTGGCATAATCTCGGCTCACTGCAAGCTCCGCCTCCCAGGTTCACGCCATTGTCCTGCCTCAGCCTCCCGAGTAGCTGGGACTACAGGCGCCCGCCACCACGCCCAGCTAATCTTTTTGTATTTTTAGTAGAGACGGGGTTTCACTGTGTTAGCCAGGATGGTCTCCATCTCCTGACCTTCATGATCCGCCCACCTCGGCCTCCCAAAGTGCTGGGATTACAGGCGTGAGCCACCACGCCTGGCTTGGCTTTTTTTTTTTTTTTTTTGAGACAGGGTCTTGGCAGTCTTAAACTCCTGGGCTCAGGCAGTCTTCCTGCCTCAGCCTCCCAACTAATGGGGACTACAGGTGTGTGCCACTACACCTGGCTAATTATTAAATTTTTTGTAAAGATGGGGGTCTTGCTATGTTGCCCAGGCTGGTCTCAAAATCCTGGCCTCAAGGGATCCTCCCACTTCAGCCTCCCAGAGCTCTGCGATTAAGGGCATGAGCCCATGGTGCCCAGCCTTAGTTTGATCTGTTCATTCACTTTACTCCTTGTCATCTCCAGGACCCCACTGATGACTCCAGGCTTCCCAGGGCCGAAGCGGAGCAGGAAAAGGACCAGCTCAGGACCCAGGTGGTGAGGCTACAAGCAGAGAAGGCAGACCTGTTGGGCATCGTGTCTGAACTGCAGCTCAAGCTGAACTCCAGCGGCTCCTCAGAAGATTCCTTTGTTGAAATTAGGATGGCTGTGAGTTTTTGGTTTTATTTTTGTTTTGAGCAAACTATAAAGCCTCCCCTGGAAAGATGAAACAAATACCACTTTTTCTTGTCAACACAAGCCAAGGATTGAGGAAATTCCAGTGTAGCAAAGATAAATTGGCTCTCATTTTCTAAGTATAGCATAATGCATGTAAGGGTTATCATAGCTAAAATGGAAAAATATTAATTACCTTTTATGATGAAAGCTGTAGTCTTTTTTTTTTTCTTCATCATGTCCTGGCAAATTGAACATTTTTGTGACCAGAAAAGGAAAAAACCCACACGAACATGAACTTTCTGTCATTTTTCAAACTAGGTCTCAAAGCTGTATTCCGCAGTTCACTTAAGGGAGCGCAAACATATTTTCACAACAGAACCCTCTTTTTTTGTTTTGAGACAGAGTCTTACTCTGTCTTCCCGGCTGGAATGCAGTGATGTGATCTCGGCTCACTGCACCCTCTGCCTCCGGGGTTCAAGAGATTCTCGTGCCTCAACCTCCCAAGTCGCTGGGACTACAAGCGCATGCCATCACACCCGGCTAACTTTTTGTATTTTTAATAAAAAAGACAGGTTTTTGCCATGTTGGCCAGGCTAGTCTCAAACTCCTGGCTTCAAGTGATCCACCCGCCTCGGCCTCCCAAAGTGCTGGGATGACAGGCGTGAGCCACCGCGCCTGGCCAACAGAACCTTCTTTTCAAACAAAGTGGTATGAGGAACCCTGATACATTAAAAAGAAGAAGAGGAGAAAAGAAAGAGCAGAACTGCTCTGGTTGTAGGTTGAGGGAGTGTCCTGGCTTTTCCTTCCCTTTCAAAAGCAGCTACTCAGGAGCCTCTGAGAACTGAGTTTGAAGCCATTGCTATCAAAATCAAATTTCTCTGCAACCCCAGATGAAGTGGGCTAAGCGAGGGGGCCCTAAGCTCTTGAGAAGCATCTGTTACAACTGTGCCTGGGCATAGGGGCAGCCCTATTGAAGAGCAGAGCAGGTCGATGCACCAGCTGGGGGCCTGTCCTTCATTGCTACTAACAAAGATTAGACAGGGAGAAAGATAGACAAGGATAAAATCCTCTGTAGTATAGATGGTCACTTTCGATGAGTCAGAGTACATATCTGATACAGGAAAAGGGACTGGCCGGGTGTAATGGCTCACGCCTATAATCCCAGCACTTTGGGAGGCTGAGGAGGCAGGATCCCTTGAGCCCAGGAGTTCAAGACCAGCCTGGGCAACCTGGCGAAACCCTGTGTGTACATAAAAAAAAAATACAAAAAGTTAGCTAGGCACATTGGCACACACCTGTACTCCCAGCTACTCAGGAGGCTGAGGCAGGAGGATCACTTGAACCTGGGAGTTTGAGATGCTGCAGTGTGCCATGATTGTGCCGCTGCACTCCAGCCTGGGTGACAGAGCAAGACTCTGTCTTTAAATTTAAAAAAAAAAGAAAAGAAAAAAAATTGTGTCCTTGGAAGAGAAAAATGTACATTGTAGATAAGTCAGGAGGAGTGGGGAACAACTTGCAAAAAAGCTCACCTACTGGTTATATCTGAAATATGAATGTCTGACTGTCTTTGCTTTCTGATTTATTTGCTGCAATAGAGTTAGGAAACAGCTCTGAATAACCCTGCCATCCATTCCCCCTCATACATTTCAGTGGCCAAAATCAAGATAATTAAAATGTCAATTGAAAAGCGTATTTTGCCAGAGTACCCCTTCTGCAAGTGATCGAAGATTACTGAGACAGAAGTTTAACCAAAGAAACTTACCCTTCTGTCAATAACCGATAAGCTGCAGGAAACCCAACAGCATATGAGAAGTTTCCAGATGAAGCTTCTTCCTTCAGGGTGCATGGTTAGCATCTCATTCTCCCTGTCAGATGAGTGACAGTTATTTTTAGTGTAAACACGTTTTGCATGCGTTTCTTCTGTGAACTGGAAAGCACTGCCCAAGATTTAGGAAGAAACATCAAAAATATCTAGAACCCCCATGGCCCCAAGCAGAGAAAAAATATATGTATCTATGTTTTTTATAATAGATATATCTGTATTTATATTATATAATGAATATATAATATATTCTATAATATATAATGTAGAATATATTCTACAATTATATAATTGCATATATAATTATATAATTATATAATTATATAATTATATATACATATATATAATTATATAATTATATAATTATATAATTATATAATTGTATAATATATTCTACAATTATATAATTGTATTATATACACTTACATATGTATCTGTATTTTTTATAATAGATATATCTATATTTATATATATTTATATATAGATATATCTATATTTATATATATTTATATATAGATATATCTATATTTATATATATTTATATATATAGATATATCTATATTTATATATTTTTATATATAGATATATCTATATGTATATATATTTATATATATAGATATATCTATTTTATATATTTTTATATATATTATATATATATATAAATTTATAATATAGATATATCTATATATTTATATATAGATATATCTATATTTTATATATATATTTATAGATATATCTATATTTATATATATATTTATATATAGATATATCTATATATATCTATATTTATATCTATATTTATATAATGAATACATATAATATATTCTATAATATATAATATATAATATAACATAGAATATAGAATATATTATACAATTATATAATTGTATAATATATATACACTTATATATGTATCTGTTTTATAATAGATATATCTGTATTTATATTATAGAATATATATAATATAGAATATATATAATATATTCTATATTATATAATATAGAATATATATAATATATTCTATATTATATAATATAGAATATATATAATATATTCTATAATATATAATATAGAATATATTATACATTATATATTATACAATTAATATATAATTACATATATAACATTATATATTTATATAATATATATTTCTATATCTAAATATCTAAATATATTATATATATATTTATACGTATATACCTAGAACTATCTTTGTGCATTTTTGAAGATTTTCCCTGGGAGCTTATTGGAATATAAATGTCTTTCAAATCCTGTGGGTCTTAGACTATCTTGTTCCCTAAGTGACCTGTGGTGCATACAAATTTCTAATGGGAACCAACTTGGCCAAGATGGTGCTTTGTGAATCTCATTCACAGAAACTGCCTCTTTTTTAACTTTACCTCAGTGAGTTCTAGCATTTTGCATTTTAAAGGAAGGATATGTGGAGTTGTCACCAGCTCTGTATGACCTTAACCTTGAGAAAGAGGGAACTGCCAAGGAAAGGGAGGAGCAGATAAGCTTTCATGTTTACAGAGTCAGGTAGAATGTGTATGGCGAGATGAAACTGACCTTCACGCCTTAGCTGGGATATTTATAATCCCGACAGGGCGTGCCAGGTGAGGGGAGGGTACGTTTCCATTTCCTCTGAGCCACCCCGTTTAAACAGTGCACATCTGAATGTTTGGAAGCTTCCTTGGGTTGCATGTCACAAAAATTCATCTTTTGTCTTTTTCTTCTTTTGACAAAGAATTTGTCTTGTAGACATATTGTGTTAAATCCCTTGCATTTCTGTTTTCACAGGAAGGAGAAGCAGAAGGGTCAGTAAAAGAAATCAAGCATAGTCCTGGGCCCACGAGAACAGTCTCCACTGGCACGTATGTGAAGGAAGACTCGGGCTGTCAGGCAGACAGGCTGGGCAGGCTCGTCACTGGGTGCTTGTCACCGGAGGTCAAATGTTGTGACCTGAGGAAGTAACTTCTTTATGATTTATACCAGGATCTTTCCAGAATATTTGGTTTGAATGCTATTTAATGTTGCAGCTCAAACTGGCAAAGATTAAAAACTGTTTGGTTCCTGTTTGGCTCACACTGACTGCTCTGTTCTAGTGGTGTCTCACCTCCAGCAGATGAAAAGTGAAAGCAAACTGGTTCTCAATCAAGTCAATGATTTGTTCCTAATCAAAGACATGTTTGCTCATTGGTTCCCCGGTGCCATTTGACCCAGACCAGCCTGCCCAGCTTCCATAAGTGAAATATTTTCATTTTCTTTTCCCTGCTACTTCCCAGTTATAAGCTGGCATGGCCAATACTGGAACATCTTTTGTAACAATGACTGATAGCACTCTCAGTCATTGTGGGTGTTGCCTGAAAGTGCCCAGATTTCTTATCTGTGGAGTCTCAAGTGTACCTGTCCTATGTAGATGTGAGGAAACAGACATCTTAAATAGTGGCAGGGCCTTGGGGAGGGAGGCAGACCTAGAACTGAGCGCCTGAACCTCTTGACTCTCGCAAAGCAGTGCTCACCAAGGAGACTGCTAGCTCGCCTTCTGCAAGCTGCTTACTCCTGTAATCATCTATTCAAGAGACGATTGTCTGAAAAGAACTCTAAGGATCTCTTTTTTTTTTTTTTTTTTGAGACGGAATCTTGTTCTGTTGCCCAGGCTGGAGTGCAGTGGCGTGATCTCGGCTCACTGCAAGCTCCGCCTCCCGGGTTCACGCCATTCTCCTGCCTTAGCCTCCCGAGTAGCTGGAACCACAGGCGCCCACCACCATGCCCGGCTAATTTTTTGTATTTTTAGTAGAGATGGGGTTTCACCGTGTTAGCCAGGATGGTCTCGATCTCCTGACCTCGTGATCTGCCCGCCTTGGCCTCCCAAAGCGCTGGGATTACAGGCATGAGCCACCGCGCCCGGCCAGGATCTCTTATCTCACAGACGGATAAGAGATCCATCTTTTTTTTTTTTTTGAGATGGAGTTTTTTTTTTTTTTTTTTTTTTTTGAGATGGAGTTTCACTCTGCCACTGAGGCTGGAGTGAAGTGGCGCAATCTCAGCTCACTGCAACGTCTGCCTCCCGGGTACAAGCAGTTCTCCTGCCTCAGCCTTCCGAGTAGCTGGGAATACAGGTGGCCGCCACCACGCCCAGCTAACTTTTTGTGTTTTTAATAGAGACAGGGTTTCACTGTGTTGACCAGGCTGGTCTCGAACTCCTGACCTCAGGTGATCCTCTGGTCTCAGCCTCCCAAAGCGCTGGGATTACAGGCGTGAGCCACTGCGCCCAGCTATCTCATAGATTTGTAAAACCTTCTTTGTATAACTTGATGAATGTGCATATAGAATGACTTACAAAACGTGAAAAAAATTGTCTTCCGTTATGTTTCTAAGCCCTTGTATAAGGAAGAAAGTAAGTATTAGATAATATTCTTTCGTCAAACACAGTAATTGGCATAAACGAAAGTAATTCCCTTTTTTGGTTAACAATTCTTCACGTTTCCCCCAAATTGCTTTTGTCATATTTAAAGACGTTCCTGGAAGTAGTGGGAAATAAAAAAGCCCTGGTTGAAATATCAAAGCCACTTCCTCATCATTCATATCCAGATGCAAAGACCGCTTCCTCTTTTAAGCCACATGGCTATTTTTAAAATAACAGCTCTGTACCATTTGTGAGTATCGTAATTAGTTTGAGATTGATTTCCAGGTTTGGAGTTGAAGCTTCAGAGTCCTGGAAACCGGGATTTAATCCTGGCTGTTTATTAGCTATGCGAACCTGAGTCGGTGACTGAAAGAGTAGCTGCCGTTAGCATCATCATAGTCATCCCTCATGTTTTGTAACAGTGATCATGATTCTGTTTGTCACTGATATGTCTCTTGATTTAGTCAGATTTTGAAATCGAGAAAAATACTTGACATATCAACAGAGCCTCCATTTCTCTGCTCTCATTATTTGAAACCACAAGTGAAAAAGGTTTTCTCCCCTTGACTTAAGCTGTGATGGTCTCTGTTAACTTGGAGAAAGGCCAGTGGTCTGTACAATGTGCCTTTATCTTTTGTCTGACTGCAGTCCCCTTTGAGACTAGATCTCTGGAAAGCTTGGCACCTTCAGCCACGGCTGCCTCTGCTGAACTGTTCCGTGAGTTTTGTGGTGTGGTGTGAGGTACACAGTGACTGTTTGGAGGACGTGGGTGTGTGCATTGTAAGCTGGCCTCTCCAGAGCCTCACTGAGTCTCCACACCTTCCCTAGGAAGCATGGAGGAGCTTGGCACTGGGGGTCCCAGGACCAGCTGTGCTTGTTCACTAGTTGAGAATTAGTTGGAGAATGTTCTGGAAAGCAGTTCCTTTAAGCTGGTCCCAGTTATATTGGGTTACTCTCTTCTTAGTCTTTGGAATTTTTCTGATGAAAACCTTTTAACCTTTATACTGAACAGGGCATTGTCTAAATATAGGAGCAGATCTGCAGATGGGGCCAAGAATTACTTCGAACATGAGGAGTTAACTGTGAGCCAGCTCCTGCTGTGCCTAAGGGAAGGGAATCAGAAGGTGGAGAGACTTGAAGTTGCACTCAAGGAGGCCAAAGAAAGGTATGAAATAGGTTAACTTGAAATATGTGTTTTTTTAAAACAGCTTTCCTGAGATATAATTAAGATACCATACAGTTCACCCATTTAAAGTATACATTTCAGTGTTTTTTAGAATATTCCAGGATTGTGCAACCACTGTTACTACAATATAATTTTAGAACATTTTTTCCCCCAAACAGCACTCACTGTCTGCTCCTCCAAGCAATGTGCTTTCTGTCTCTATAGATTTGGCCATTCTAGACATTTCATATAAATGGAATTATACAGTCTGTGGTTTTTTGTGACTGGCTTCTTTCACGTAGCATAATGTTTTTGAGGTTCATCTACAACGTAGCATGTATCAGTACTTCCTTTTCCTTGCTGAATAACCTTCCATTGTCTATATATACAACATTTTGTTTATTCATTCATCAGTTGATAAACATTAGAGTTGTTGCCACTTTTTACCTATTAGGAATAATGCTGCTATGAACAGTGTGTACAAGTTTTTACTGGGATATGTGTTTTTAATTCTCTGGGGTATATCGTTATGGGTGGAATTGCTGGGTCATACGGTATCGCTATTTCATATTCTAAGGAACCAGCAAATCATTTTCCAAAGCAGCTGCGCCATTTTGCATTCCCACCAGCAGTGCATGAGCATTCCACTTTCTCCACGTCCATACCAACACTTGTTTCTTACTGTTTTCACTTTGACTTCAGCCATCCTAGTGGATGTGAATTGGTATCTCATAGTTCTGATTTGTATTTCCCTAGTGACAGCGATGTTGAGCATCTTTTCATGTTGACCGTTTGTTTGATTTGGAGAAAAGTCTATTCAGAGCCTTTGCCCATTTTTAAAAATTGGGTTATTTGTCTTTTTATGTTGAATTATAAGAGTTCATTTTACATTCTGGATACAAGACCCTTATTAAATATATGATCTGCAACTATTTTCTTTCTTTTTTTTTTTTTTTTTTTGAGACGGAGTCTCGTTCTGTCACCCAGGCTGGAGTGCAGTGGCGCAATCTCGGCTCACTGCAAGCTCCGCCTCCCGGGTTCACGCCATTCTCCTGCCTCAGTCTCCCGAGTAGCCGGGACTACAGGCGCCCGCCACCACGCCCGGCTAATTTTTTTTTTTTGTATTTTTAGTAGAGACGGGGTTTCACCATGTTAGCCAGGATGGTCTCGATCTCCTGACCTCGTGATCTGCCCGCCTCAGCCTCCCAAAGCGCTGGGATTACAGGCGTGAGCCACCGCGCCCGGCTGATCTGCAACTATTTTCTCCCATTCTGTGGATCGTCTTTTCCCTTGATGGTATCATTTGCAGCACATTTGTTTTTATTTTGATGTAATACAGTTTATCTCCTTTTTCTTTTGTCACCTGTGCTTTTGATGTCCCATCTGAGAAACCGTTGCCTAACCCAAGGTCACAAAGATTTACTCCTATGTTTTTCTCCTAAGAATTTTGTAGTTTTGGCCTGGCGCGGTGGCCAAAATTACAGTTGGCCACCGCACTCCAGCCTGGGTGACAGAGTGAGACTCTGTCTCAAAAAAAAAAAAAAAAGAATTTTGTAGTTTCATCTCTGACATTTAAGCCTGTGGTCCATTTTGAGTTTGTTTCTGTGTATGTTGTGATATAGGAGTTCAACTTCATTAGACTCTCAGTTCTGTTTCATTGATCTATGTTTGTCCTTACGCCAGTACCACAATGTCTTGAGTACTATAGCTTTGTAGTAAGTTTTGAAATCAGGAAGTGTATTAGCCCGTTTTCATACTTATATGAAGAACCGCCTGAGACTGGGTAATTTATAAAAGAAAGAGGTTTAACTGACTCACAGTTCAGCATGGCTAGGGAGGCCTTGGGAAACCTAACAAATCCTGGCGGAAAGCGAAGGGGAAGCAAGGCACCTTCTTCACAAGGTGGCAGAAAGGAGAAGGAACGCAGGAGGCACTACCACACACTTAGAAAACCATCAGATCTCATGAGAACTCACTCACTATCACGAGAACAGCATGGAGGAAACTGCCCCCGTGATTCAATTACCTCCACCTGGTCTCTCCCTTGACACATGGGGATTATGGGGATTACAATTCAAGATGAGATCTGGGTGGGGACAACAAAGCCTAACCATATGAGGAAGGAGTTAACTGTGAGCCAGCTCCTGCTGTGGCTAAGGGAAGGGAATCAGAAGGTGGAGAGACTTGAAATTGCACTCGAGAGATAGTGCCTTCCAACTTTGTTCTTCTTTTTAAAGACTGTTGGCTCTTCTGGGTTCTTTGCTGTTGCGTAAGAATTTTAGGATCAGCTTGTTAATTTGTGAAAAAAGCCAGCTGGGATCTTACTAGGGATTGCATTGTATCCCCAAATGATTTGGGGAGAATTGCTATCTCCAGGATTGTGTCATCGCAGAGATAGTCTTGCTGCTTCTTTTCCAGTCTGAATGCCTTTTATTTCTTTTTCTTGCCTGATTATCCTGTAAAAAAAAAAAAAAAAAAAAAAAAAAAGTGTTACATAGAAATGGAGAGAGCAGGCATCCTTGTCTTGTTCCTAATCTTAGGGGGAAAGCTAAGGCCCCACCTTTGTCATCACTTCAGAGGTTCCTGGTGTCACTCATGCTTGAGTGTCCTGGAGTTCCCACAGTGTGAATCTGGTTGCTTCTTGGCTGTCCCTACTGTTGGCTCAAAGGTCGGCCTTCTTGGGCTGGTAAGGCCCCACTCAGACCTGTACTGCCAAATTTTCCTACTATTATTTCCTCTCCCTTTTTCTTTGTTCCTGTAGGCACATGGCTTTTTGAAGGTCCTTTTAGTAGAGTTTGGGCTGGGAAAAAAATTGCATGCATCTGTTCAACCCATTATCTTTAACCACAGTCTCTTGTTTCATTTGGATTGGGACGGCTTTCCTGTGGTTATGATTTGGTGTTAAGAATGGTGTTACTTTTTTTGTTGTCGTTTATTCGGTGACTTTTAAACTTAGCTGTGTCCTAAAAGGAAAAGTCTTTCCTTCTCTAATGAATTCTTATGAATGAGATACCATGTTCATGGAACACACATGCATCCACATGTGTAAACACAAACAATTTCAAAAACATTGCTGCATAGGACAGTTGCATGGAAACAAATGGTGTTCAAGATGAGTTTCACTTGCCTTTTACCTCTGTGTGTATTTGTCTGTGAATCAATTCTAGCCAATTTTAGGATGAAAAATAAAACTAATGCTAATATAGTGAATGTGTAGAGATTTTGAAAACCCCTGATCCTTTATCCCAATTGTAAACAATGTTCTTTTTAGTACTTCTGTAATAATTGCTATTTCTCTTAAAGCCAAAGAGAAAGTAACTTTTCTATCTTCTGTGATTTTCCAGAGTTTCAGATTTTGAAAAGAAAACAAGTAATCGTTCTGAGATTGAAACCCAGACAGAGGGGAGCACAGAGAAAGAGAATGATGAAGAGAAAGGCCCGGAGACTGTGAGTCCTAAGATTCCACGGCCACTACCACACCCACACACACGAGAGTAGTCCAGCCACTGAATTCAAATCTTGTGATGGGTTATTTGCTTTAGAAATATAGAAATCATGTTGATATTGAATATTATCTATCTATTCCTTTTATATGTCCTTGTCCTGCTCTGTGTCAATTGTAGCGAGATGTATTTCTTTTTTGTTGTTGTTGTTGGAGATGGAGTCTCACTCTGTCGCCAGGCTGGAGTGCAGTGGCACGATCTCAGCTCACTGCAACCTCCGCCTCCCAGGTTCAAGCAGTTCTCCTGCCTCAGCCTCCCAAGTAGCTGGGATTACAGGTGCCCGTCACCACGCCTGGCTAATTTTTGTATTTTTAATACAGACAGGGTTTCACCATGTTGGCCAGGATGGTCTTGATCTCTTGACCTCGTGATCCTCCCACCTCGGCCTCCCAGAGTGCTGGGATTACAGATATGAGCCACTGCGCCCAGCTGCAAGATGTATTTCTATCAGTATTCTACAAAACGATTTCCTATGTCTCTTCTTGACTGATTTCTTCTCCTCGGTCCTTCAATGAACAAGCCTACTGTAGGAAAAGGAATGTTGTCCACTTTATAATGAGATCATTTGAGGATATGACTTAGAAACTTGAGGGAGAATTGAAAGATTTGGGTTCTATCCCATTACTGGTTTGAATAAAGTAGTTTGAAAGGAAAAGGTTCACTGTTGTCTTGTTCAGTGTTGTCTGGTAATTGAGAGAGGTGCCTTCGAGTCTGCAGAGAGTCTTCAGCTTTCGGAAGTTAATGAAGCCGTGAAGGTTGATAGCCATAGGGGCCCACGTGAAAGGCATTTACATAAAATATTCACTTTAGGTAATTAATTTATTCAACAAATATGTACATTGAATGCCTATTGTATGTCAGGAGACTGAGACCTTACTGTTGAAAGAAGAGAGAACATTTAGAAAACAGATGAAGAGACCACCAGTGAATAATAGTTCCCTGTTGACTAAAACGAATTCAACAGCCAGTAGCAGGGAAATATGGTCTTTCAAGGCATCAGAAACTCATTTACAAAAATTATAGAGCTGCCAGGAAAAAGGCTGCACAACAAAAATAGTTGAGTAAACTAGAAACATACACTGGGAAGAGAGTATGGGGGCAAGTTGTTAGCTGGATAGATAGGACTGTGCTTTGACACCTCTGTGGTCTATGATCTCTGAACCTGGAATAGGGTTCATTTTAATAGCGATAAAGTCATTATCCCAGTGCATCCAAATTGATTAGTTCATGCTTTATTAGGAAACAGAAGTTACCCAAAACTTAGCAAACCTAAGTACCAAGTATCCAAAACATTCTTTTCCTACACAATGTTTGGGGTATTGTCAAAGTTGGATTGATTCACCAGCCAGTCTTAATTGGCTACTAATGGTTCAGCCTGTTTTCTCCTAAAGAGGTTTGTTTAATGTCAGATGATAATTGTACAGATATGTTTGGGATTTCCCGTATGATAGGTTGGAAGCGAAGTGGAAGCACTGAACCTCCAGGTGACATCTCTGTTTAAGGAGCTTCAAGAGGCTCATACAAAACTCAGCGAAGCTGAGCTAATGAAGAAGAGACTTCAAGAAAAGTAAGAATGAGAGAGCAATTTTATCCTCCTTTGAAATATACATTTTTACAAAGTATACTACTATATAAAAACATAGTTTTTTAACTATGTTATGACTAAAAGAAAAATAGACACCTAATTAAAATATAAATTCAGAATATACTAATGTTCCAGTTAATGTGTGAGCATGAAATACTTGTAAGATGGGGGGTTGGGGACTGGAGAACTTTAATTCTGCCATTTAGGGGCATTTGTTAAATGTACGAGCCTGGGTAAGATCTCTACAGTAAAGCTGTGAGCTAGTTTTCCTGTTACTGACTTAAGCTGATGACATTGATGTGAGTAAGCATAAAGAAAGATGAAAAGAGCATAAAGATCTTGAGTGACATTTATTTGGAAAAAGGTCAATTTCAATTTGTTATTTCAATCAGTTAATTATTTCAGGCTAACATGTAGATTGAGCGTTTGGCATTTGCTTGTTTCTCTTGATGTAAGAAGTTACCCAAAACTTAGCAAACCTAAGTTGATGCTGTTCTATTGGATTCATTGGCAAACATGTTTCTAGCACAATACGGAGGTGTGTGTGTTTTCTTGAGGTTATAATTCCCAACACTCTGTAGAATTATGGTAACGTGATACAACATGGCAGCTACAACTAAGGACTTTGGACAAACAGACCTAGATTTAACATATGAGTCTGCAACTTATTTGTGTTGGGCAAGGTATTTATTTCAATTCTCTGAGCCTGTCTTGGCATTTGTAAATTGTGTGTTGTAATTTCTTCTATATACATTGTGTTAAATGATATGTCTAATGGGCTGGGCATTAATGCTTTGTGCATAGCTGTCATTTATTTGTATTATATTGAAATCCTCTTTCCGATCTTTAAGAAGACTTAGGGGAACTTCCTTTTTCCCTTATTGAATCTTTGTCAGAAACTAAAGTCTTTGCAATTGACAGAACCTATAACTTTTTTTTTAATATAAAAGATATCCACACATCACTACATGAGAAGCGCCTTAGCTAATTACTACTGTGGTCTGTGTTTAAATACTAAAAATGTATCTGTATGACTAGTTTAAACAATTATTCAAAGAGGACAGTACTGCATGTGAGCTTAGATCTGTACTTTTTTATGTTTAGGCGTAAGGGTTCAGAAATATGGCCAGGTCTAGTGAAGAAGCAAGGAGGATTATGTATTTCATTTTGCATTCATAAACCCTACAGCCCTAAAATTCTTATATTGTACATAACCTTGGGGTTTGTTTAAAAGCCACTGCGACGTAAAGGAGCATTGTTTATCCTCATGAAATCTTGACCTTTCTTAGGTGTCAGGCCCTTGAAAGGAAAAATTCTGCAATTCCATCAGAGTTGAATGAAAAGCAAGAGCTTGTTTATACTAACAAAAAGTTAGAGCTACAAGTGGAAAGCATGCTATCAGAAATCAAAATGGAACAGGCTAAAACAGAGGATGAAAAGTGAGTATGTTGAGTCAGAAGGGCAGCGACGGGGCAGAGGAGGGAGAATCGCCTTTTTATACAGATTGGAATTCGGATTTGAGAATAAATTTTAAAAAATTTCTTTTTCACTTATCTGAAGGAGTCCTAGCAGACCTCTCAGAGAGGGGGATAAAATTTAAAAGTTTTGTCATAATAAAATTATGCTGATTGTTTGCACTCTGTCTTGATTTTTCAGAAAAGATTTTTTTTGAGAGTAAGAAATGCTAGTAGGTCGTGGGGTGATAAAGGTAGGCGAGAAGATTTTTCTACTGGAGTGTTCAGAAGGTTGGGAGGCAAGACTATAAGTTTCTATGATATTTTCCCCAGGATTCCATTTTTTAATATCTTTTTTAATAGGTCCAAATTAACTGTGCTACAGATGACACACAACAAGCTTCTTCAAGAACATAATAATGCATTGAAAACAATTGAGGAACTAACAAGAAAAGAGGTATTCACTGAAAAAAATTACTTCCATAGCCTAGTAATGAACAGAAACTGTTGAACGTTTTGTATATAAAATAGTTACATGAATCCTTCACTAAATCTGGTTTCAAAGGTTGTTTTCCAATGTATCATTATTTCTTGCATCTAGGGTTTGTAACTTCTGATGTTCCACATATGTGTAATGTGCTTTATTGCGTACAAAGATGATGTGAATGTCCTATGGTCAGGGATTAAGCACTTCGTATTTCTTTTTTTTTTTTTTTGAGACGGAGTCTCGCTCTGTCGCCCAGGCTGGAGTGCAGTGGCGCGATCTCGGCTCACTGCAAGCTCCGCCTCCTGGGTTCACGCCATTCTCCTGCCTCAGCCTCCCGAGTAGCTGGGACTACAGGCGCCCGCCACCGCGCCCGGCTAATTTTTTGTATTTTTAGTAGAGACGGGGTTTCACCTTGTTAGCCAGGATGGTCTCGATCTCCTGACCTCGTGATCCACCCGCCTCGGCCTCCCAAAGTGCTGGGATTACAGGCGTGAGCCACCGCGCCCGGCCAGCACTTCGTATTTCTAAGGATAGGTTTGTAGGAGAGCTAAGAGCATGGGCTTCTATGGGTAGGAAGGGCCATCTGCTCTGGGGAATTGTGCAAGACCAGCGTGCCTGCTGTCAGTGAATTTGGGACCCTGGAATCATCAGCCTGCAGTTTAAATTCATAATAATGGACCAGGTGTGGTAGCTCATGCATGTAATCCCAGCACTTTGGGAGGCCAAGGCTGGAGGATCATTTGAACCCAGGAGTCTGAGACCAGCCTGGGCAACAGGGAGGCCCTATCTCTACAAAAAATAAAGAGTTAACCAAGTGTGATGTTCGTGCCTGCGGTCCCAGCTCCTTGGGAGGCTGAGGCAGGAGGATCACTTGAGCCTAGGAGGTCAAGGCTGCAGTGAGCTGTGATCACGCCACTGTACTCCAGCCTGTGACAGAGTGAGAACCTGTCTCTAAAAAAAGAAAACAATAAATAAATTAGTAATAATGCCAGCATGGTGTGATAGTTTAGAGACCACAGAAGCTTGTGAATTAGAAGGGATCTTTGAATTTTTAGCCTTGTAAATATACTCTTTGTTTTTCATTTATTTTCTTTTAAAGAGGAGGTTTTGCCATGTTGCCCAGAATGGTTTTGAACTCCTGAGCTTAGGCAATCCACGTGCCTCAGCCTCCCAAAGTGCTGGGATTACAGGTGTGAGCCATCATGCCCAGCAGTAGTGTTCCTCTCTTGGACCTAATAATTTTAAATTTAAAACATGTTTCTTCTTTTCCACTGACTGCAGGAAGTAACAAGTGGCAAAATAACAGTATCAACGAGTCACAGCCTTATTAACATTGGAGTTTGTTATTGTATCCCTGATTTCGGTGTTATCACCTTTTTTTTAGGAATTCATTATTTGCAAGCCACAACTTAAATACAACTTTCTGAATAAGTTAGCGTTGCTGATTAATAGACTGGTTAGAGCTGATACATTTTTTAGATCTCGCTATGTTGCCCAGGCTTGTCTCCCACTCCTGGGCTCAAACGATCCTCCCACCTCAGCCTCTCAATTCTAGGCATGAGCCACCACACCCGGCCAGAGCTGATAATTAAAAAAATAAACCTTTTTCTAATATTTTACTAAAACAGGCAGAATTATTTCAAAACCATTTCTAGAATAAATGTTTCTTTTTCAGTCAGAAAAAGTGGACAGGGCAGTGCTGAAGGAACTGAGTGAAAAACTGGAACTGGCAGAGAAGGCTCTGGCTTCCAAACAGCTGCAAATGGATGAAATGAAGCAAACCATTGCCAAGCAGGAAGAGGACCTGGAAACCATGACCATCCTCAGGGCTCAGGTGAGGCACCTTCCAAAACCCCAGCTGAGCGAGGCCAGCCCTGACTGTATTCTCGCATTGGAAAGCAATGGTGTTTAGAATGTTTGTAATTTTCTATTTTATATATTTTTTCACCCGTGAGTGTATTAAAACTTTAAAATTGAAACATTTGGAAAGTGCTCAGTGGATCTTATCTGTTCTACATTTAATAGGTAATTGGATTCTTTCCAGTTTGTGGCATTATGATTAACGTTGCTAAGACATTCCTGTGCATGTTGCTCTGTTCACATGTGGATATTTTATATTTCTGTTGGGTACACACCTAGGAGTGGAGTCGCTGGATCATAGGCTCTGCATGTTACTCACTTTTAACAGGTAATGCCAAACAGTTTTCCAGAGTGGTTGGACCAGTTTTCACTCCCATCAACAGAGAGTTTCCATGGCTCTACATCTTACCAACACTTCTATTATCAGTCATTTTCCTTTAACCACTCTGGAGGGTATATAGTGGTATCTCATTTAATTTGCATTTCCCTGATCACTAATGGGAAAGAGTACTTTTTCAAGTGTTTTTGGCCTTTGAGGTATCCTCTTTTGTGAAGTGCCTTATCAAGCCTGCCTTTTTTTTTTTTTTTTTTTTTTTTTTTTTTTTGGTTTGGTTTGCCTGGCATTTTTTTTGAGACAGAGTCTTGCTCTGTCGCCCAGGCTGGAGTACAGTGGTATGATCTCGGCTCATTGCAACCTCTGCCTCCTGGGTTCAGGTGATTCTCCTGCCTCAGCCTCCCATGTAGCTGGGACTACAGGCATGTGCCAACATGCCTGGCTAATTTTTGTATTTTTAGTAGAGATGGGGTTTCATCATGTTGGCCAGGCTGGTCTCAAACTCCTGACCTCAGGTGATCCACCCACTTCCACCTCCCAGAGTGCTGGGATTACAGGCATGAGCCACTGCGCCTGGCCTGGCTTTTTAAAAAAATGTAATGACTTCTATGTATACTGCACATACAAGTCTTTGTCAGTTATTTTTGCCTTTTCACTCTCATAAAGGTGTCATTTGAGGAACAAAAGTTCTTAGTTTTAAGGTAGTCCAGTATATCAGCCTTCTCATTTATGATTAGTACTTTTTGTGTCCTGTTTAAGAAACTTTTACTACCCCAAGGCCAGGAAGATATTCCCTCTGTTGTCTTCTAAAAATTTTGTTGTCTTACCTTTTACATTAAGATGTACAAACCATTTGAAATTGGCTTTTGTCTATAGAAAATGAGGTAAGGGTAAATATTTATTTTTTTCCTATATGAATATCCAGTTAACTTGGCACCATTTAAGCCATCTTTTCTTAAGTGCTCTGCTGCCCTCTTCATCATAACTTGTGTCCATATATGCATGGGTCTGTTTCTGGATTTTGTTCTATTTTATTGGTCTACTCATATATCTTTGCTCTGGTACCATGCTGTCTTATTATAAAGCATCAAACTTTTTTTTTTTTTTTGAGACAGAGTCTAGCTCTGTCACCAGGCTGGAGTGCAGTGGCACGATCTTGGCTCACTGCAACCTCCACCTCCCGGGTTCAAGCCATTCTCCTGCCTCAGCCTCCCAAGTAGCTGGGACTACAGGCGCACACCACCACGCTCAGCTAATTTTTGTATTTTTAGTAGAGATGGAGTTTCACCACGTTAGCCATGGTGGTCTCGAACAGTTGACCTCATGATCTGCCCAGCTGGGATTACGGGCGTGAGCCACCGTGCCTGGCCAGCATCCATTTGAATGGTTGGATCATGAGTTATGTCCATTTCTCAGTTAAATAAATATTACCAAGCTGTCTTCTAAAACTGCCTAACCAAAATTATACTCTCACCAAAAGATAAGCACTCCTATGTCCTCACATTCTTGCATTATTTTAAAAACCTTGGCCAATCTGATGAACATATTATTTTTAATATAATAATGTCAGCAGTTTGTTATTCCCTACATACAGACTCATTATCACCAGCTGCCCAGAGTGGCTGACCCCTGTGAAATGCAGCCAGTTGACTGGTACTTATAGCTTTAGTTTTATTTCTACAGGAATAGAGCCTCAACCTGCATTCTCAGCTCTTCAGAGCATTTCCTTGCTTGGGTAACTCATGTCATTGGGTTCTTCCACTCTGCTGCAGTCATGTATTTTTGCTCATTCTAGACATAGACATTTGTTTTCTCTTGATGGATACTCTTGCTCATTCATTCAATAACTTCTTTTTTGAGCACTTATAATATGTCAGAGACGGCCGGGCATGGTGGCTCACACCTGTAATCCCAGCACTTTGGGAGGCCGAGGCAGGCAGATTACAAGGTCAGGAGTTCGAGACCAACCTGGCCAATATGGTGAAACCCCGTCTCTACTAAAAATACAAAAATTAGCCGAGCGTGTTGGCGGGCACCTGTAGTCCCAGCTACTCGGGAGGCTGAGGCAGGAGAATTGCTTGAACCTGGGAGGCAGAGGTTGCAGTGAGCCGAGATCATGCCACTGCACTCCAGCCTGGGCGACAGAGCGAGACTCTATCTCAAAAAAAAAAAAAAAAAAAAAAAAAAAAATCAGACACTGTTCTTACTGCCTGGGATATAGGAATAGACAAAACAAAGACTCTGTTCTTACTGGCTCAAAGCTAGTAAGTGATAGAAGTGAGACTAAATCGAATTTAAGTCATACTCCAAAACACCCATGATCCACTGCCAACACTGTGAGATGCTGAACCACTCACATTGATAGGATATCCCTTAAAATGATCTCTTTATTACATACTTTTAAGTAACTATAGTTTTGATAGAATATTTAGATTTTTAATTTTACTTTTAAAATAATGGATAATAATTTATATCTCAGAACCAGCAAATTTGAAAAGAAAAAACTAATTTTAAACATAGAAAGTGAAAAATTAGTATTAAATTCCAATACCAATGGAACAGTTCACTCAATTAGCTGACAGCATTAAATATTAAAACACTATTAAGTGTTTTGTTATTTATAATTTTTTAAAAATTACTTAATTTTTAAAATGTTGTGTTGTTTTGTTTTTTGAGGCAGGGTCACACTCCTGTCACCCAGGCTGGAGTGCAGTCGCATGATCGTGGTTCACTGCAACCTCTATTTCCTGGGCTCAGGTGATCCTCGTGCCTCAGCCTCCCAAGTAGCTGGAACTACAAGTGCATGCCATCATGCCCAGCTGATTTTTTGTATTTTTAGTAGCGATGAGGTTTTGCCATGTTGCCCAGGCTGTCAGCAGGAGGCCTCAGTTCCTCACCATGTGGTCTCCTCCAGAGGGATGCTTGGGTGCCCTCATGTCATGGCAGCTGGCTTCCCCCAAAGCAAGTGATCCAACAGAGAGCAAGGAGTGACAGCGTCTTTTGTGACCTAGTCTCAGAAGCCGTACACCATCACTTCTGCGGCATCCTGGAGGTTACACAGGTTGGGTTTATTCATTGTGGGAGGGAAACATACAAGGTGATGAATACCAAGAGGCAAGGATCACTGGAGCCATCTTAGGAGGCTGGTGACCACACATGGGACATGGATTGAATATGGAAAAGTTCATGGGAAATGGTCTTCTGTCTGGTTCAAATGCTGATTTGGCCACTTAACAAATTTTCCCAAGATTAAGAGCCGTTAAGTTTGTAAAATGAGGATAGCCATTCTTTATTCTCAGGATATTTCATAAGGTAAAATAAGATAGTAAATGTAAAGCACCCAACATAGGACCTCACACATGTTTGGAATTTAACAAATAGCATCTATTTGTGATGATTATTCTTTTAAATTTAGCTTAAGACCAGCCTTCATAAATACACCTGGCAGAATCAATTTACTATATTAAGTAATCATTTACTATATTAAGTTGATCCTGAATTGTTTATTATCTAAAAGTCCAGATAATTTTGCTGAATTAATGGTACCTACAGTATTTAAACTACCTATATCAGTGCAGTTGCAGGATTTGTGTTGTTTAAAGCACACACACAAACACAGCTTGTATCTGCTATCGGAATGTACCTGGAAAGTCATGGTCATTATACTGTTTTCTAGCAGGATTGTGCATCTGTGATTCACAAGGGCTATTGAAGGATACAGCACTACCTCCTCATCGCATAAACACTGTAAGAATCTGCATTCATCTAGGTACTAACTTCTGTATCTTTTTTTCCTCTAACAGATGGAAGTTTACTGTTCTGATTTTCATGCTGAAAGAGCAGCGAGAGAGAAAATTCATGAGGAAAAGGAGCAACTGGCATTGCAGCTGGCAGTTCTGCTGAAAGAGAATGATGCTTTCGAAGACGGAGGCAGGTAAGGAAAAGAGAGAGGAGGACCCAGAGCTCACATCAGCATGGCCGTAGAAGAGGTGCCTGTCCAAAGACGTTCCTGATTTGAACTATAAGAATAGCTGTGTTCGCGCCACTGCACTCCTGCCTAGGTGACAGAGCGAGTCCCCTGTCTGAAAAATAAATAATAATAATAATAATTGCTTCACTTACACTTCATGTGATCATGTTCCCAACACTTAGTTTGTCTTACAGGAAAGCTTGACAGAGACTTGTGGGAGCTTGATCAAGCTCCTTGCTTTTAGATAAGCAAGGATTTTGATTTGATTTTAAAATGTTGTGTTGTTTTGTTTTGTTTTTTGAGGCAGGGTCTCACTCCTGTCACCCAGGCTGGAGTGCAGTGGCATGATCATGGTTCACTGCAGCCTCAACTTCCTGAGCTCAGGTGATCCTCGTGCCTCAGCCTCCCGAGTAGCTGGAACTACAAGTGCATGCCACCATGCACTTGTAACAATAATGTTACGTGTCCCAATGACCTATCTTGCCATCGTCACGGATGAAATATTCGTAGCACTTTAAATTCCTGAATATTCTTTAAAAAATACTAACAAAAATTACTTCTGACTTTTAGAAATTTATTTTGAGAAAGTTTTAAAACACAGCAAAATTCAGAGAATAAAATAACAGACTCTACTATGTACTCCTTCCTGCATTGACAACTGCTTTTATTTGCTTCAAGTATTTTTTTTTTATTAAAGGAAAAAGGGAGTTGTAGTTAGAATCAAAGTCTCCTTTGTTCCCCATCCATCATTATATTCCTTTCTTCTTTACCTTGTGCTGTTAGGAATTTGGTGGGTAGCTTCCCCATCTATTTTATACTTTTACATATCACATACACACTTACCTATATCATATCTCAAAACCAGATAATATTGATTTCTCTGTGTTTAAGTTACAAAATGATCACTGTAGGTATTGTTCTGCAGCTTACTTTACATAATATTATGATTTTGAGCTCTCTTGATATGTGCGGATGTAATTTATTATACTTCATTGCTGTATTTTGATTTATAAATATGCCACTTCTTTCTAATCTGTTTCCTACTGATGACAGTTTGGTTATTTCCTGATTTTTTTTAACTGTAATTATTTACTTTCACTAGTCTCCTAGTGCCAATAGTATTTAAAACTAAAATTAGTCTGGTTTTTATGAACCTTGGCAGTGTAGTTTGAGTCTTTTTTCCCCTACTTCTGTGGACTGTCTGCTCAGTGTTGTCATGTTTCGGGGTTGTAGAACATCACACAGCGTGTTGCTTTTCGTCCTGGCAGGCAGTCCTTGATGGAGATGCAGAGTCGTCATGGGGCGAGAACAAGTGACTCTGACCAGCAGGCTTACCTTGTTCAAAGAGGTGAGTCCCGTGTGATCCTGGATTTTCAGGAAATAGCTATCCTATGAAAAAGATGCTTGAAGAAAAATTCCACTTCATTCTCTACAATGGATTCCAAATCAAGGCACCAAAAATATAGCACCCGTCAGTCTCATTACCACAGCACTCCCATCTCCATCCATTACCCACCGAATCCAGACCAGACCCTTCACCCTGCCAGAAGGTGCCTGGCACGGCCACACTTTTTCTTTTTTTTCTTTTTTTTTGAGACAGAATTTCGCTGTGTCGTCCAGGCTGGAGTGCAGTGGCGAGATCTCGGCTCACTGCAACCTCCACTTCCTGTGTTCAAACGGTTCTCCTTCCACAGCCTCCCGAGTGGCTGGAATTACAGGCGTGCACCGCCACACCCAGCTAATTTTTGTATTTTTAATAGAGATGGGGTTTCACCGTGTTGGCCAGGCTGGTCTCGAACTCCTGACCTCAACTAACCTGCCTGTCTCGGTCTCCCAAAGTACCGGGATTACAGGCGCAAGCCACTGTACCCGGCCTACAGCCACACTTTTAAACCGTGTCTCCCTCTGTTCTCTTACAGACATTAGCCAGACTGAATCATCCCCTTGAACTTGTCCTAAGCTTGTATTTGCTTGTATTATGCCCTTCACAGAGACGCCCTTTTCTTATGCATATTCCTGTCTTCCTCCAGTCTCTTTCCAGTGACCTCTTACCCCATCTTTAAAATCTATTTCAAACTCCATCTCCATGAACTGTTTCCATTTTGAACTTCCAAAGTACTTTATTCCTCTATGTTGGTACCTGTCTGCTATTTTATAGGTGTTTGTGTGTTCTAGGTAGATACTTAAGTACTTTATTTTTATTTCTATTTTTATTTTGAGACAGGGTCCCACTCTCTTGCCCAGGCTGGAGTGCAGTGGCATGATCGTGGATCACTGCAACCTCCGCCTCCCGGGTTCAAGCGATTCTCCTGGCTCAGCCTCCCAAGTAGCTAGGACTACAGGTGCACGCCACCACGCCTGGCTAATTTATTTTAGTAGAGACAGGGTTTCACCATGTTGGCCAGGCTGGTCTCAAATTCCTGACCCCAGGAGATCTGCCCACGTCGGCCTCCCAAAGTGCTGGGATTACAGGCGTGAGCCACCACGCCCGGCTAATTTGTATTTTCAGTAGAGACAGCGTTTCACCATGTTGGCCAGGCTGGTCTCAAACTCCTGACCTCAGGTGACCCACCCACCCAGGAGAGGTCTCCTAGAACAGAATGTACCTTCTCAGAAGCAGAGGCAATGGTCTCATTTATTCAGCAGATACTTTTGAGTCCTCCAGGATGTGCAAGAGGTACTGCTTATGCTGGGAGTCAGAGAGCAAAGGCAGCCCCGGATGCTGACCCCTCTTCTCTGGCAATGGGGTGATTAGAAAGCTCCCTGCTTTGGAAACCATGCTTTATGATCAATACATACCTCTTCAGAAATGCTTCTTAAGGCTGCTGAACACAATCTCAAATATTCATACATGTTACTACATCCAAGTAATGTACTTAGAAGCAAATAAAGGTTGCCTCCAAAAACAAACATTTTGAGAGCCAAACCAAAGTCTAGGCTGAGTCCAAAAAACCAAGACGGTTTGCATTGGTCCAGAAAGGTCAGAACAGAGAGATGCCCGGGAGCCAGAAATAATTTCTTGCATCCATCACAGTTTGTATGGATCCAGGACCTAGCTAGGGTCAGGGCTTATTTCGAACATGCTCTGATTGAGGCTTGAACCTCAGTACTACTCCAAAACTGGGGGAAATGATAGGGTGCATTCTTCCATCATTCCTCCTTGTTAACTTTATGTAGATAACTCCTGTTCATTCTCAAGGCCCCTCTCAAGTTAATTGGTCGCATCTAGGAGGCCTTTCTGCACCAAGATCTAAACTAGGGGCCCTTCCCTTTCTCCCATGGACACCCTTGCACCTAACACTCACCTGGCCTAACACTCGTGCCTAACACTTTTGCCACGCCACTGCTGCCACATCTCTCACCTGGCTTCTCCACCACGTCTGTCTCCCGGCACACAGCAGTGTCTTTATACATCCCAGAGGATTCAAAAGTGTCTGCTGAACAAATGAGATGATTGCCTCTGCTTCTGGGAAGGTACACTCTGTTCTAGGAGACCTCTCCTGGGCTCTGTGGATTTCTTTCTCCACATTCCCTTCCTCTTTTGCTTATATCCTCATTCATCCCTTTTCTTCTCGCAGATATCCTAGTATTTACTAGAACATGCATTGTCCTGTACCTAGAACTGAAACCATGTATTTTCGCATACCTTGAAACTGGGATACAGTTTAAATCCTAAAAGAATGCACCAATGCACCTGTAATCCCAGTACATGGGAGGCTGAGATGGAAGGATCAGTTGAGACCAGGAGTTCAGAACCAGCCTGGGCAACATAGTGAGATCCCATCCCTACAAAAATTTTAAAAACTAGCCAGGTGTGGTGGCACGTGCCTGTAGTCGCAGCTATTCAGGAGGCCGAGGCAGGAGGGTCACTGGATCCCAGGAGTTAGAGGCTGCAGTGAGCTATGATTGTGCCACTGCACTCTAGCCTGGGAGAAAGAGCGAGACTCCATCTGTCAAGAAAAAAAAGTAAAGAAAAGAAAAAAATCCTAAAACAGGCCAGGCGCAGTGGCTCATGCCAGTAATCCTAGCACTTTGGGAGGCCAAGGTGGGCAGATCATGAGGTCAGGAGTTCGAGACCAGTCTGGCCAACATGGCAAAACCACATCTCTACTAAAAATACAAAAATTAGCTGGGCGTGGTGGCGCGCACCTGTGATCCCAGCTACTCAGGAGGCCAAAGCAGGAGGATCACTTGAACCTGGGAGGCGGAGGTTGCAGTGAGCCAAGATCGTGCCACTGCCCTCCAGCCTGGGTGACAGCGAGACTCCGTCTCAAAAAAAAAAAAAAAAAAAAAAAATCCTAAAATAATAGGGAAGCAGGTATCACTTGGAGAGATTTTTCTCTATGTGCATCGTGATGACTTCAGTTAAAGACCAAACACCTGTGCTCATGTCCCACTACGTGTTGAATACGAAGTTGAACTGATGTTAAAACTCGCCATCTGTTCTTCAAGTGAAACAAACACAACTGCCTGCAAAATGGAACTAATGGAATTATCATACTTATTCCCAGGAGCTGAGGACAGGGACTGGCGGCAACAGCGGAATATTCCGATTCATTCCTGCCCCAAGTGTGGAGAGGTTCTGCCTGACATAGACACGTTACAGATTCACGTGATGGATTGCATCATTTAAGTGTTGATGTATCACCTCCCCAAAACTGTTGGTAAATGTCAGATTTTTTCCTCCAAGAGTTGTGCTTTTGTGTTATTTGTTTTCACTCAAATATTTTGCCTCATTATTCTTGTTTTAAAAGAAAGAAAACAGGCCGGGCACAGTGGCTCATGCCTGTAATCCCAGCACTTTGGGAGGTCGAGGTGGGTGGATCACTTGGGGTCAGGGTTTGAGACCAGCCTGGCCAACATGGCGGAACCCTGTCTCTACCAAAATTACAAAAATTAGCCGAGCATGGTGGCGCATGCCTGTAGTCGCAGCTACTCGCGAGGTTGAGGCAGGAGAATTGCTTGAACCCAGGAAGTGGCAGTTGCAGTGAGCCGAGACGACACCACTGCACTCCAGCCTGGGTGACAGAGGGAGACTCTGTCTCGAAAGAAAGAAAGAAAAAAAGGAAGGAAGGAGAAGGAAGGAAGGAGAAGAAAAGGTACCTGTTCTACGTAGAACACCTTTGGTGGAGTTCCATCAACTCGCAAAGTAGAATCCTTACCTACTACTCTTCTGATAATAATTTTAATATTTTTTATGTTTGGTTGATGCGAGCAGCTGCACTGCTCATGCAGTTAGCTAGCATGTGACATCATGTGACAAAGTTCATGTAATTAGATGGAAGAAACCTCACTGATTAATTTTAAGAACCTTTTAGGGATGCAGGAACAATGAAGTGGCCACAGTATGTGCTGTTTTTGAAGCATTTTTAAAAACGAATTGTAGTTGTTTTTCTTCATTTAAAATGGATCTGTTGGAGGTTATGTGTGTATGTTGTAGTTTTATTGCAGCCACAATAATTTTACCAAAGTTTTCACATAGGCAGTTAGCCTTTACTTAATATCAAGACAAGTGAAAAAATATTGGCATCGATGAAACCGATAACATTGGCCTCATTGGATTTCTTTACCCATTCACAGTGTAAAGAAGTTACCTTCATGCTTTCATTGTACCTGCAGGCCTGTGGGCTTGTACAGTAGATAATTAATTTCTAAAAAGAACAGCTGCCTATTTTCTTCCTAGGTTAGGTTATATCTTCATAATCACAAGAATTAGTGATGGCAAAATAAAATTTTGCTTATGAATCTTTTACATTGTTTATATATGATTAATATCATCATATATATTTTCTGTATTAAGCTCATTTGGCTTCATTTAAGCTGTATACTTAGTCATATATCTTTCATTAGTTCTATGGATATGAGCAGATCCCTTTACTGGAGCCCAGTATGTGCTGTGTGAGTTAGAAGTCATTCTTGCTGAGAAGGTGAATAGGTAGGGATTTGCCTTGTTTTGTAAGTCTACAATTTGCCAAGAGTAAATAACACTGGACCAGCTGTAAAAGTAAACAGTGTGTTTATGCATTGAGATACTAAAGCATTTAAGAAAAAATTAAAAGATCTCTTTTGTTTAAATTTGTCTTAAGAATCTCTCCTAGACAAACTTGACTATACACACACACACTTCAATAAGAATCAAAATAGTTCATTATATCTTCATGCCAAGAGAACACATGATACAAATTCAACAGTAATTTCAATTAAACGAGTCCCCTACCACACCTCAGGGAGAATATTTGTTAAAGACATTTCTAAAGTAACTCTGACATTTTTACTTTTCTTTGTTATGGTTTCTAATGTAAATTTTTTCCCTTATCATCTTATACTGGAGGAAATATATTTCTATAGTCTCCTAAACAGAGAAGGAAACCAAATGGTTTCACATTTAAAGTTATTGGACATAATCCTTTTACTTTGTTCAAGTAAAAATATTCAGCAAAGCCAGACTGAAATAATAACATGAATGGGCTTATTAAGCTTGTGACCAAATCGTTTGTTTAATAGTTGGAAGAATTACAAATGAAGGCCATTTCACGTAGTCAGTTTAAATTAAGGCTGTTGTTTCCAGCTTGGTAAATAGCTTATAAACTCTGTGCACATCTTACCTCATTTATTTATTCTAATATCCCTTCAAAGGCTCTGTTCCATGTGACCAGTTAACTATACCTCCTAGGAATTTTGTGTCTGTAAAAATACATAGTTGAAGATTGCACTCTTAACAGGTTTACGACTATCCTGGATAGTATTGTTAACTGTGTGCACATTGTTGTAGAGCAGATCTCTAGAACTTTTTCATCCTGCGTGAATGAAACTCTACACCCATTCAACTGCAGCCCCCATTCTCCCCTCCCCAGTCCCCGGCAACCACCACTCTCCTTTCTGCTTCTGAGTTTCACATACCTCCTATAAGTGGGATTACATAGTATTTTTCCTTCTGTAACTGGCTTATTTCATTTAACATACCTCCCTCATTCAAACCATAACTTCCTGGATGAAGGTTTCAGGCAAAAGCACCTGGGAAACCAGGCCTTTGCTACTCATTTACCCCCCATTCCCCACCCCACCCCCCGCCCCAGTCCCGTGCCTCCACCTGCTGAGCACCGTTCCATTTGCCGATGCTCTCATGTTACCCTGGGAGACATAAGGTAGAAGAGCCATGGGGACTCTGCTCGAGGGTGGTATAAGGCATTTGAAACTAAGCCTCTTCATTAACCCAATCCATATCACAGAGAGGCAGCATGGGTGCCCCTAGCCCAATGGCCGGGCTATTTGCTACTGCAATAATAGGTTTCTTATAAACCGTCAGCCTCCTGAGTAGCTGGCACCACAGGGACACCACAGGCTATTTTTTAAAAAAATTTATGTAGAAATGGATTCTCACTGTGTTTCTCAGGCTAGTCTCAAATTTCTAGGCTCAAGCAGTCCTCCCGCCTCAGCCTCCCAAAGTGCTAGGATTATTGGTGTGAGAGGAATCCCTTTCAACCCTTGAAAATAAATCAAGCGGTGATGAACTCCCTGAGCTTATATTTGCCTAGGAAGGTCTTTATTTCTCTTTCATTTTTGAAGGACAGTTTGGCTGGACATAGTATGTCTTATTTGGCAGTTTGTCCCCTTCTGCACTGTGAATATATTATGTCAGTCCCTTCTGGCCATCTGGCAAGGTTTCTGCTATGAAATCCACTGTTTTATGAAGGATCTCTTGTTCATGACAAGTTGCTTTTTGATTTTAAAATGACTCAATGTGGATGTCTTTGGGTTCATTCTAGTTGGAGTCCTTTGGAATTCTCGAATCTGGATGTCTATTTTCTACCCCAGATTTGGGAAATTTTGAGCCATTATTTTTTTTAAAGAAGCTTTCTGTCCCTTTTTGTATTTCTTCTTAAATTCCCATAGTGTTTATATTGGTCCACTTAATGGTGTCCCAGAAGTTCCTTAGACTTTCATCATTTTAAAATTATTTTCCCTTTTTGATCCACTGACTGGATAATTTCAAATAACCTCTGAGTTCATTCTTTCTTCTGCTTTATCAAATCTGCTGTTGAACCCCTCTAATAAATTTTTCAATTTATTTTATTCTTCACTGCCAACATTTCTGTTTGGTTCTTTTTTATACTCTCTCTGTTGATATTCTCATTTTGTTCATACATCGTTTTCCTGAGCTCACTGAACATCTTTTGAATTTTTTTTCAGGTAAGTCATATACCTCTAGTTCTTGGGGTCAGTCTCTAGAGATTTCATTTGCCTCTTTGGGCCATATTTTCATATGTTTCTTCATGTGTCTTGTGATTTTGTGTCGGGATCCATGTATTTGAAAAACAACTCTGTCTTCCAGTCTTTAAGGACTGGCTTCATACAGGGAAAGATCTTTTCCAATCATCTTGGCTAGAGATTCTGAGATCTCCCAGACCTCTTCCATAGATACATCCCCCCAGACCTGTGCATGCAAATGTTCAATTAGATTTGCTAGTCTCGTTTTTCACAATCTGCAGCCTCTTGTTCCTTCCAGTGTCTGCCTGCAGCCCTGCATATTCCCTGGAGCTGCCACAAGCCATCCAGCACTCCTTATCTTATTCTCAGCAGCCTCTAGGTCTCTCTCTAGAGCATTCTGGGTTCTGTCAAAACTCTTTAAGTTGGGCGAGATAGAACCAGTTCCCTGGGCAGCCCCTTAAAAGCCAGAACATTTGAAACACACTCCACTAGTCTCTTTCCCTCCACAAGGGAGAGGCTGGCTGAGCTGTATTAACCTCTGTATGCTGCACCATGAGTCCTGGAGCAGTAGCAGGTCAGGTCACCCAGCTCTCTCTCTTTCCCAGTGTCCTCCAGGCATCTAGAGTATGCTGTGTTCCATCAGCACTCCAAGACAAAGCAGAAACGAGTCCCTCAGACAGCCTCCCAAAAGGGCAGAATGTTGGACACACTTTGCTCTTCTCTTTTCCCCTGTATAGGAGAGGCCGCCAAGATGTATTGGCCTCTGTTGGACTGCAGATCCTCTACAGCAGCAGCAAGCTGCCATGCTTTTGTTCTCAGTAGTCCCCAGGCATCTATGGTATATCAAGCCTTTCAATGCTCAAGACAAGAGAAACAGTCCCCTGGGAAGCCCCCTGAAAAACTGGAAATTGGATTCAGGCTCCAACTCTCTCCCTCCCCAGGGAAAGGCAAGAGCCAGGTGTTTTCTCCCACTTGTTTCACACTGAGCTGGGGCAATGGGTATGGTGACAGAGTACATGCCAATCCCAGTCTCCTCTTTTGTTCTGAGTGGTCCCTAGACTGATACCCTTTTCAGTCAGTTCCTAAATTCAGGCAAGAGAGAAACTAATCCCTCAGGCAGCCCCCTGAAAAGTCTGCACATTGGGCATAGGTATTAGTCTTCTCTTTGCCTCCCCAGGGAGAGGTCAGGAGCTGGGAGCTTTCTCCTGATTGTGCCACACTGAGCCACAGGAGGTACTATGGCAAGGGTATGCCACAGGTTCTCCTACATGGCTGGTTTCATGCCCATCTGGAGTGGAGGAGCCTGTTAACTATTTTCTTGACTTCTCACAAAGGGAATTCATCCATGTATTGTTGAACCAGTGCCTTCCCGGCGGGGAAGGAGGGCCTGGGGCTTCCTGTTCTGCCATCTCCCTTTTGTAAATGCTGCCATGCTGTATACTTTTTTTTTTTTAAAGGATAAACATTTCTGTTTAAAGGATAAACATTCAACGTTAACTGGAAATGAAAAGGAGACGATTTTTAGTCTGATACTTATAATGCAATATTATTTGCAATTCTGTATAAATAGATTTCAGAAACTTCGATTTCAAATCCCAATTAAATTAAAGAGAGGAAAATTACTGAGAGGAACTGCAGTTCCAAATTTTTCCTTTCAGGGCAGTCAATAAAATTAGCTTTTTGTTTAACTAAAAGTAAGATTTCAACTATCTAACTATATCAGAAAAACAAAGTACCTGTTTGTGATTTTGGGTAGTCAAGTCAAAATTCCTTGCAAATCATCCACATGCACCTTCATCTCTTTCCATTGCTTTTCTTTTTTGTCTCTTTTGCTACATCTATTGAAACTAGGCCAGGTGCGGTGGCTCACACCTGTAATCCCAGCACTTTGGGAGGCCGAGGTGGGTGGATCACCTGAGGTCAGGGGTTCAAGACCAGCCCAGCCAATATGGTGAAATCCCCGTCTCTACTAAAAATACAAAAATTAGCTGAGCGTGGTGGTGCACGCCTGTAATCCCAGCTATTCGGGAGGCTGAGGCAGGTGAATCGCTTGAACTCAGGAGACGGAGGTGCAGTGAACTGAGATCGTGCCACTGCACTCCAGCCTAGGTGACAGAGCAAAACTCTGTCTCAAAAAAAAGAAAAAGAAACTATAATTACTGAGGCCCACTCTAGTTGTGTCAATTCCTTTTCATTTGGCTTTCTGGATGAAGATAGGCTAGGAGCTGGAAGAGGTCTTATCTAATGTATTTCTGGTTTTGCTTGACCCTAAGACGTTTTTGCAAGGCAAGGAGATGCCACTGGTTCTGGCCTTGGTTCTACTTGCTGGTTGAAGCTTCTGTTCAGCTGTGTGACATATCTGCATTTGAGGAAGCTAAAGTGCTGAAATGTAATCCACTTCTTATTGGCATTCCTAAAAAGATGCATGAACTTGTGAGGGGATTCCTGCATGGCTCTTCTTCTGAGATACCAGACACATCCTCCTACCCAACCTGTCAGGAGGTGTGAGGAGAGCATGTGAATGGATATGGCCATAACACAAGAGACTGGCCACTCCTCAGATCCCCATGTCCCTCTCTCCTCACTGGCTGTTGGGTGCCACCATCTTCCTTCCCTACCCCCTGTCCATGTCGTACATATTCTTGAAGTCTTGTTAAATAGGAGCAATAGAAAGATTGGGAACTGGGAAATATGAATGAGCCAATGAAAATTTACCTGAGTTACAGCCAGGCACAGAGGCTTATGCCTGTAATCCCAGCACTTTGGGAGGCGGAGGCAGGCGGATCACTTGAAGTCAGGTGTTTGAGTCGAGCCTGGCCAACATGGTGAAACCCTGTCTCTACTAAAAACACAAAAATTAGCCAGGTATGGTGGTGCACACTTGTAATCCCAGCTACTTGGGAGGCTGAGGTGGAAGGATCACTTGAACCCAGCTAGTGGAGGTTTCAGTGAGCTGAGAGCCAAGATTGCATCACTGCATTCCAGCCTAGACTGGAAGGCAGCAGACTCTGTCTCAAAAAAAAAAAAAAAAAAAAAAAAAAGAAAGAAAGAAAAATTTAACACAATTATTTTAAAATATTATCTTAAACTTTTATATTTGAAAATAACTTTGACTCAGTCTAAGTGAGGAGCTGAGAAGTCATCATTCCTGTTCTCATACCAAGAAAAAAGCTGCACAAATTGCATATCAACAATTCATTTTTAAGTCTGTCAGTGAATTGAGCTTGCAGGGCAAACCACTATCCCCAGAATTGGAAAGACAGGATAATACAGAGAGTTGCAGGATACCAGATCCGAAGCTCAGAAGCAGAAACCACCACTGGAGCCAGTGCCATGGTAGAAAAACTTAAGCTAGCTTAATTGGTGAATGGCTGGAAGTTCCGTGTGGACAAGCTTGAGAGTTAGAAACTCCTGGAGGGCCAAGTCTTAGAAGAACTCTTACACTTTTGTGATTTTTACCTCCAGGAGTCCTGCCAGATTCTTAAGTGAAGACTGGAGAAAAATCCCCTCATGCATCTGGGTGGGAGTAGCCATTTGGAAATATGCCAGAGCATTCTGTTCTCTTAAAAAGGCCTACTGTTGTGAGATATTGTTTTATCAAACCCTGTTGACCTGGAGGAAGGGAAATATCCAACCCAGCCCTGCAGAGGCTTCCTCCTGTCACCTGAGAGGGAGTGGGGAGAAACCTAAGATGTACTGTTAAAAGGTCACAGCCTGGAGGCACAGGCTCACTAAAAGACTGAGACCTTACTTATCACAGGATTGTAGAATGTTTCTCCTCCCCTCTACACCTTACCATCACATCAGTAGGGCCCCTGTATAATAATAGAGTTACAAATGAAAAAACTGTGTGTCTCAGATCTTATTTAAGAAGATACCTGTATGGAAACCCAAAACAACAAGGGAAACAAAAACAATAACTTCAGAGGAAATTTTAGCCTCTGATACTTGTGGAAAAAGCAAATAGTAAACACATCCTAACTCCCGGCCAAATAAATGTAAAACCTCACACTGAAGGCCTGTTTACTTACATTCCTTTTAACCAGTGTATCTTGCCAGGCTTTCAACAAATATTGTAAGGCATCACAAAGACAAAAACATTCCACACCATTTGAAAAGATAGACCAAGCATCAGAACCAGACTCAGTTATGACAGCTATGAGACTGGGTATTTAAAATAACTATGATGTATACTCCTAAGGGTTCTAATGGGAAAAGTGTTTAAAATGCAAGGAAAAGATGGGTAACATAACCAGAGATGGAAATTTTAAGAAAGAATAAAAAAGAAATACTAGAAAACAAAACATTGATGGGAATGAAGAGTGTCTCCAGTGCGCTCATCAATAGACTGGACATGGCCAAGGAAAGAATCGGTGAGCTTGAAGAAATGTCAGTAGAAACTTCTAAAACTGAAATGCACAGAGAAGAATGAACGAAAGGAGCAGAATATTCAGGAACCGTGGGTTAATTATAAAAGTTATGCATATAATGGAAATATCAGAAGGAGAAGAAAGAGAAGAAAACGAAGGAAGTATTTGAAGTAATAATGGCTGAGAATTTTCAAAAATTAATGACAGACAGCAATCCACAGATCCAGGAAGCTCAGAGAATACCAAGCATGATAAATACAAGACAAAATCTATACCTAGGCATATCATATTCAAACTATAGAAAAGCAAAGACAGAAAATCTTGAAAGAAGCCAGAGAGGGGAAAAAACCTTACCTGGAGAGAGGAGCAAGGATAAGAACTATCAGACCTATGTTCAGAAACCACGCAAGCAAGAAGAGAATAAAATGAAATAAGTGTTGAGCGAGAACAACCACCAATTTAGAATTCTCTATATATGGACATAATCCTTCAAAGGTGATGGAGGAATAGACTTTTTCAAACCGTAATTAAGAGGATTTGGTGCCATTAGTTCTTCCCTTCCAAGAAATGTTAAAAGGAGTTATTCAGAGTGAAGGAAACTGATATGTATTAGTATGATTGATATGCTAAGAGAGGAGAGAAAATTATATAAAATTCTCAGTTGAAACCATAAAAGGCAGAAATACAGTGGAAGACAGTAAAAAAGATTAAAGGCAACAAATAGAAAACAATAAACATGGTAGACATTATTCCAGTTATATCAACAGTAACTTTAAATATCAGTAGTCTAAAGATACCAATTAAAAGAGACTGTTAGAGTGGATTTAAAAAAAATAAATAAATGAAACAAGACTAGGCCAGGCACGGTGGCTCACGCCTGTAATCCCAACAATTTGGGAGGCCAAGGCAGGTGGATCATGAGGTCAGGAATTCAAGACCAGCCTGGCCAACATAGTGAAACCCTGTCTCTACTAAAAATACAAAAATTAGCCAGGCATGGTGGTGCACACCTGCAGTCCCAGCTACTGGGGAGGCTAAGGCAGGAGAATCATTTGAACTTGGGAGGCAGAGGTTGTGGTTAGCCAAGATCACGCCACTGCACTCCAGCCTGGGCAACAGAGTGAGACTCCATCTCAAAAAAAAAAAAACAAAAAACAAAAAACAAGACCCAACTATAAGTCGTTGACAAGAAACTCACTTTTAATATAAAGACATATATAAATTAAAAAGATGGAGGAAGATATGTTATACTAACACTAATCAAAACAAACCTGGAGTAGATAACATTAATTTCAGACAAAGACGTCTCAGAGCAAAGAAAATTACCAAGGATAAAGAGGGACATTACATAATGATAAAGGGGTCAGTTCTCCAAGAAGACACAACAATCCTGAGTGTGTTTGCACCTAACAATGGAATGTCAAGACGCATGAGGCAAAAATTGATAGAACTGCAAGGAAAAATAGATGAATTCACTAGTATAGTTGGTATTATGGACTAAAATGTTTCCCCCAGAATTGATATGTTGAAGCCCTAACCCCAGTGTGATGATATTTGGAGATGGGACATTTGAGAGTTAATTATGTTTAGGTAAGGTCACGAGGGTGGGGCCTTGATGATGGAGTGAGTGCCCTTACAGGAAGACACACCAGAGAGCCCTCCCTTCCTCCCTCTCTGTGTGCATGCACCAAGGAAAAGCCATGTGAGGACACAGCAAGAAGCAACCATCTGCAACCCAAGGAAAGAGCCCTCACCCAGGGTGTGACCCTGCCCACACCCTGATCTCTGATATCTAGTCTCCAGAGTTGTGAAAAATAAATTCCTGTTGTTTGAGCCACCCAGACTATGGTATTTTGTTATGGCAGCTTGAGGAGACTGACAGTTGGAGGCTTTAAAACCCCTCTGTGAGTAATATCACAAGTACAGGAGGCAGAAAACCAGTATGGACAGAGTTGAACTGAACAACACTGTCTTAGTTTGTGTTGCTATAAAGGAATGTGTGGGGCTGGGTAATTTACAAAGAAAAGACGTTTATTTGGCTCACATTTCTGCAGACTGTAGAAGCATGGCATCAGCATCTGCTTCTTTTTTTTTTGACACAGAGTCTTGCGCTGTCGCCAAGGCAGGAGTACAGTGGTGTGATCTCGACTCACTGAAACCTCCACCTCCTGGGTTCAAGCAATTCTCCTGCCTCAGCCTCCCAAGTAGCTGGGATTACAGGCACACGCCACCACACCTGGCTAATTTTTATATTTTTAGTAGAGATGGAGTTTCGCCATGGGTGGTCCCAAACTCCTGATCGCAGGTGATCCACCTACCGCAGCCTCCTAAAGTGCTGGGATTATAGATGTGAGCCACTGTGCCCAGCCAGCATCTGCTTCCATGAGGACCTCAGGCTGCTTCCACTCATGGCAGAAGGCAAAGGGGAGCAGGCATTGCATGGTGAGAGGAAGGGAGAGAAGGGAGCTAGGTGCCAGGCTCTTTTTAACAATCAGTTTTCCCAGAAACTATTAGAGTCAGAACTCCTTACCATGAGGATGGCACCAAGCCATTGATGAGGGATCCACCCCCATGACCCAGACACTCCCACTAGGCCCCACCTCCAGCACTAGGGATCAAATTTCAACATGGAATTTGGAGGGGACAGGTATCCAAACTATATTAAACACCATCAGTCTACTAGATCTAATTGACACCTATAGAATACTTCATACCCTGCATATAGCAGAATTTACATTATTCTCATGCTCGTATAGAATATTCACCAAGATAGGCCACATTCTGGGCCATAAAATGCAGCTTAACAAATTTAAAACAATGGAAATCAAAGTATGCTGTCACATCAAAATGTAATTAAATGAGAAATCAATAACAGAAAGAGAGCTGGAAACTCCAAAAATACATGGAGATTAAACAATACACCTATAGGCTGGGCATGGTGGCTCACACCTGTAATCCTTAGCACTTTGGGAGGCTGAGCAGGCAGATTGCCTGAGTTCAGGAGTTTGAGACCAGCCTGGACAACACAGTGAAACCCTGTCTACTAAAATACAAAAAAAAATTAGCTGGGTGTGGCGGTGTGCACCTGTAGTCCCAGCTACTTGGGAGGCTGAGCAGCAGAATTGCTTGAACCTGGGAGGCAGAGGTTGCAATGAGCCAAGATTGCACCACTGCACTCCAGCCTGGGCAACAGAGCAAGAGTCTGTCTAAAAAAATATATATATATATATACATATATATATATATATACACCTACAAACAATACATGGTTTAAGGAAGAAGTCTCAAGCAATATTGTAAGCTAAATGAAAATATAACCTATTAAAATGTGTGGGATTCAGAGAAAACAGTGTTTTGAGGGAAATTTGTAGTATTGAATATATAGAAAAGAAGAAAGACTAAAATCAGTAATATAAGCTTCCACCTAGGAAACTAGGAAAGAATAGCAAAGAACAAAATAAGCAGGAGAAAAGAAATAATAAAAATTAGAGCATAAATTAATGAAACAAACAAGGAAATCAACAGAGAAACCAGAAGCTGGTTATCTGAAATAAATCAATAAAATTGATGAACTTCTAGCCAGGTTAACTAAGAAAAAGAGACAAGGTACAAATCACCAATACCAGTATACCAACAATGAATCATTGCCCCTTGATATATAAAAACATAGTACTACTAACATTAGCACCAAAAAATGGAACACTTTGGTATTCCAAAGTATTCATTTAAGATCTGTATGAGGAAAACTACAAAACTCTGATGAAATAAATCAAATAGGCTGGGCGTGGTGACTCATGCCTGTAATCCCAGCACTTTCGGAGTCTGAGGCGGGCAGGTCACCTGAAGTCAAGAGTTGGAAACCAGCCTGGCCAACATGATGAAACGCCGTCTCTACTAAATATACAAAAATTAGCCGGGCATGGTGGCAGGCGCTTGTAATCCCAGCTACTTGGGAGGCTGAGGCAGGAGAATCGCTTGAATCCAGGAGGTGGAAGTTGCAGTGAGCCGAGATTGCACCACTGCACTCCAGCCTGGGCAACAAGAGCAAAACTCTGTCTCAAAAAAAAAAAAAGAAAATAAATAAACCAAATAAAATCTATTAACTGGAGAGATATTCCATGTTCATAGATAGGAAGACTCAATATATTCAAGATGTCAGTTCCTCCAGCTTGGTCTATAGATTCAATGTAATTCCAGTCAAAATCTCAGCAAGTTATTTTGTGGGTATCAACAAACTGATTCTAAAGTTTATATGGAAAAGCAAGAGACCTAAAATAGCCAACACAGTATTGAAGGAAAATAAATTTGGGAAAGTGACACCACTGGCTTAAAGACTTACTATAAAGCTACAGTTATCAAGACAGTGTGGCATTGCCAAAAGGACAGGCAAATAGATCAGTGGACAAGAATTGAGAGCTGAGAAACAGACCCACGTGAATATAGTCAACTAATCTTTGACAAAGGAGCAAATCCAATTCAGTGGAGAAAGGCTTTTCAATAAATGTTTCTGGCATAACTGGACATCCACATGCAAACAAATAAAAAAGAACCTAGACATAGTCCTTGCATCTTTTACAAAAACTAGCACAAGCCACAGACTACGTGAAAATCTTTACAGGATACATATCTAATAAAAGACTGGTATCCAAAGTATACAAATAATTCTTAAAACTCAACAGTAAGAAAACTCAATTTTAAAATGTGCAGCCAGGTACAGTGGCTCGCACCTGTAATCCTAGTACTTTGAGAGGTCAAGATGGGAGGAAAACTTCAGGCCAGGAGTTCAAGACCAGCCTGAGCAACATAGGGAGACCCCCATCTTTACTAAAAATAAAAAAATTAGCAAGGTGTGGTGGTGCATGCCTGTAGTCCCAGCTACTCTGGACTGAGGTGGGAGAAGCATTTGAGCCCAGGAATTTGAGGTTGCCATGAGCTATAATTGCCACTGCACTCCAGCCTGGGCAACAGAGCAAAACCCTATCTCAAAAAAATAAATAAAAATGGTCAAAAGATCTGAACAGATACCTCACCAAAGAAGATGTACAGTTGGAAAATAAGCATATGACAAAGATGCTCAACATCGTATGTCATTAGGGAATTGCTAATTAAAACAACAATAAGATACCACCACACACCTATTAGAATGGCTAAAGTTCAAAACATCAACAAGACTAAATGATGAAGATGTGGAGCAACTGGAATTCTCATTTATTGCTGGTGGATATGCAAAATGGTACAGCCACCTACTATAGAAGAAAATTTGGCAGTTTCTTTAAAAAAACCAAGCATACTCTTACCATATAATCCATCAATCATTCTCCTTGGTATTCACTGAAATCAGTTGGAAACTATGTCCACACAAAACCTGCACATGAATATTTATAGCAGCTTTATTCATACTGGCCAAAACTTGGAAGCAACTAAGATGTCCTTCAGTAGGTGAATGGATAACCAAACCACAGTGCATCCATAAAAAGGAATATTATTCAGCAATAAAAATAAATTAGTTAGCAGGACATGAGAAAACATGGAGGAGACTTACATGTGTTGGGGTGAAGGGAAAGCTTCCCCTTCGCCCTCGAAAGATTCGCTGAAAAAATCAACTCAGCATAAAGCAGATTAATAAAAGGCAAGCCGGGTGAGGTGGCTTACGCCTGTAATCCCAGCACTTTGGGAGGCCGAGGTGGGCGGATCACCTGATGTCGGGAGTTCGAGACCAGCCTGACCAACATGGAGAAACCCCGTCTCTACTAAAAATTCAAAATTAGTCGGGCATGGTGGCGCATGCCTGTAATCCCAGCTATTCAGGAGGCTGAGGCAGGAGAATTGCTTGAACCTGGGAGGCAGAGGTTGCGGTGAGCCAAGATCGCGCCATTGCACTCCAGCCTGGGCAATAAGAGTGAAACTCCATCTCAAAAAATAAAATAAAATAAATAAATAAATAAAAATAAAGGAAAAGCATACAAATTTATTTAACCATGCATGTGGAGAGAATCACAGAGTGATTACCCAATATCCCAGTGGGGCCCAAAGACTTACATAACCTCATGCCAAAAGGGAGGTGGGGATAGGGAGTATGGGTAATTCTGTTGAGGGGCAGTAAATGATTACTAGAGAGAATGAGTGGATACTTAGGGGGATGAATAGATAGGGGAACAGAGACTGATTTGTAATTGGTTCTCTCTGGAAAATGAATGAGCCTGAGAGACAGACATTATTTTGTAAAAAGGTTGGGCCAAGTCTGGTTACATTCTTGATCATCATTCCTGCAATAGACAATGAAATAACATGGCAGGAAAAAACCATTGTTCTTCTTGGTGGATCTGTCAGGTCTTTGTGTAGCTAGGAGAAAAGTCTCTTCCAAGTCCTATCGATCTATAAGGACTTTTAATTCAAAATGCTTATTATGCCAAGGAGTCATATTTTGGGGTGGAATTCCTTGCACTTTTTAAAATGCAGATTGCTAAGTGAAAGAAGCTATTCTGAAAAAGTATGATTTCTGTATGATTCCAACCATCTGACAATGCAAAAAGCAAAACTATGGAGATGGTAGTGGTTGCCAAGGATTGCGGGGAGGGAGGCGTGAAGAGTTAGAGTATGGGAGACTTTTAGGGCAGTGAAACTACACTGTAGGATACTGTAATGGTGGACACCATTGTCAAAACCCATAGAACTGTACAACATAAAGAGTGAACCCTAATGAACTATGGACTGTCATTACTAATAATGTATCAATATTGATGTATCAATTGTAACAAATGTCCCACATGAATGCCAGATGTTAGTAGGAAGGGAAACTGTGTGTTTGGAAGGGGCTATTTGGGGACTCTCTGTTCTTTCCAGCTGATTTCTCTGTAATCCTGAAGCTGCTCTAAAAAAAATAAAGTCTATTATTTTTTTAAATGAAAAAACTTTGAACTATAAGATTATTTAATATGAACACACCTAAAATTTATGTTTGCATCAGAAAATCAAGGTTGTTGTAAATATTAGTTAACACTTCCATGTGACCCATAAGGAAAGGGCTAACTTGAATTATTTTTAATGAAATATTAAATTTATTATGCCATCATTAATTCAGTGGGGGAAAATGGATATGACACCTAGTTGCAGCTTATTTTTTTTTTTTTTGAGACAGAGTCTCTCTCTGTCGCCCAGGCTGGAGTGCAGTGGCGCGATCTCAGCTCACTGCAACCTCCACCTTCCAGGTTCAAGTGATTCTCCTGCCTCAGCCTCCTCAGTAGTTGGGATTACAGGCATGCACCACCATGTGCAGCTAATTTTTTTTCTTTTTTTCTTTTTTTTTTTTGTATTTTTAGTAGAAACGGGGTTTCACCATGTTAGCCAGGATGGTATCGATCTCCTGACCTCGTGATCCACCCACCTCAGCCTCCCAAAGTGCTGGGATTACAGGCGTGAGCCACCGCGCCTGGCCATGTCCAGCTAATTTTTGTATTTTTAGTAGAGACAGGGTTTCACCATGTTGGTCAGGCTGGTCTCAAACTCTTGACCTCAGGTGACCCACCTGCCTCAGCCTCCCAAAGTGCTGGGATTACAGGCGGGAGCCACTGTGTCTGGCCTAGTTGCAGCTTTTAAGTCATAAACCAAAAATAAAATACTAAGCCCCCCAACCAGCTGGATGAAACCTCCTCTTGGCCAACTGGATTCCAAAGTAAACCTGAAAAACTAGTTTAGGCCATGATGGGAAGCAGAGATCTTATGACCGATGAAACAGACTCTTTGTAGCAATAAGATACGAGATTCCAACCTGAATCTAGTATAGCATCACATGACAGCAGGCCTGGACAGAAACTTAAGTATTTTACCCCAAAATATATTTCTTTGACATATTTTGAAGTGGCCCTGCAAAGCTGTCTCCTGTGGGGTAATTTATATTCTGTAGAGAATCCCCTTCCCTTTCCAGGTCTTTTTCTGATCCTGAACAGATGAACCGAGAGTCTGGCCTTTTAAAAGATCTGAATAGGAAACATGTTGCCTCTAAGGGTGACTAGACTCTTTATGGGCTTCCCTTTGCAAAACATCAGTCAGGGTAACTGATGGAAGTAAACTCCAGGTTGGCTGAAGAGCAATAGACATCTATTTGGGCAAGAAAGACAATATTCTGTTATGAAAATTAAAGAGGCTGGGTTTTCTTCTTTCTCAAGAAGGCCACTTATTTCTAAGCAGAGATATAGGTGTTTGTCCAGTCAGCTGGACAAATTCAAGTTTGGGATAAGACTCTAGAGATTTCTGCACCATCCAGCATGGAAGATGTGAAGTCAGACATAAACGGGCCTAGGAGAGATGGTGGCAGTGGGGTGTGTTGCAGAAACCAGGCTATTACTCCCAGTGGGCCTGGCTCTGAATAGCATTGCCTCCTGCTGGGCCTAATGATGGAATCATTGTTTTCACGATCTGGTGCCTTAGCTAAGGAAACACACTCAAAGATACTCTGCAATGTCTACTTGGAGAACTCAACTACGTTCTCTTTTTTTTTGAGATGGAATTTCGCTTTTATTGCCCAAGCTGGAGTGCAATGGCACGGTCTCAGTTCCCAGGTTCAAGTGATTCTCCTGCCTCAGCCTCCCAAGTAGCTGGGACTACAGGCGCATACCACCACGCCCAGCTAATTTTTTGTATTTTTAGTAGAAATGGGGTTTCACCATGTTAGCCAGACTGGACTTGAACTCCTGACCTCAAGCGATCTGCCCGCCTCGGCCTGTCAAAGTGCTGGGATTACAGGCGTGAGCCACTGCACCGGCCTCAGCAATGTTCTCTAAACCCACTCCCCAGACCTACATTTGAAACCCAGATCCCCCTGGCTTCAGTCACAAACCTGAAGGAGGAAATCTCCACACCACAGCCTGGGACTGAACTCATCATCCCCGTCTGATCCACAGTAAGCTGCTCTTTCAGACTCCTCATCTATTTCCATGGTTCTGCCAGTCTCCTGGGCATTGCCAACCTGCCCACTGTCCTCTCCTTTTCCTACCCAAGGTAACTTTCCTTTGGTCAGTTACCAAAGCAGATAGGCTTTCCCCAATACATTTTCCATTTGTCTCTTCCTTTCTCTGCCTCCAGTCTGTTGTGTTTTCAGTTCCTGAGCACCTGCCTTTGTTAGCTTAATCTCCCTAAACAGTGCCCGATGGAGCAATGAGAACATAAATTAACACACATTTAATGCTTACAGGTGCCAGGCACACTATTGCATATTTCCAAATTTTTCTCATCTAATCCTCATGATGGCCTATGAAATAACTATTACTGTCCCCATTAGGCAGATGAATAAGTGGAGCCAAAGACAAAAACCACATGATTATCTCAATACATGCAGAAAAGGCCTTCGACAAAATTCAACAGCCCTTCATGCTAAAAACTCTCAATAAACTAGGTATTGATGGGACGTATCTCAAAATAATAAGTTATTTATGACAAACCCACAGCCAGTATCATACTGAATGGGCAAAAACTGGAAGCATTCCCATTGAAAACTGGCATAAGACAGGGATGCCCTCTCTCACTACTCCTATTCAAAATAGTGTTGGAAGTTCTGGCCAGGGCAATCAGTCAGGAGAAAGAAATAAAGGGTATTCAATTAGGAAAAGAGGAAGTCAAATTGTCCCTGTTTGCAAATGACATGATTGTATATCTAGAAAACCCATCGTCTCAGCCCAAAATCTCCTCAAGCTGATAAGCAACTTCAGCAAAGTCTCAGGATACAAAATCAATGTACAAAAATCACAAGCATTCTTATACACCAATAACAGACAAACAGAGAGCCAAATCACGAGTGAACTCCCATTCACAATTGCTTCAAAGAGAATAAAATACCTAGGAATCCAACTTACAAGGGATGCGAAGGACCTCTTCAAAGAGAACTACAAACCACTGCTCAATGAAATAAAAGAGGATACAAACAAATGGAAGAACATTCCATGCTCATGGGTACGAAGAATCAATATCGTGAAAATGGCCATACTGCTCAAGGTAATTTATAGATTCAATGCCATCCCCATCAAGCTACCAATGACTTTCTTCACAGAATTGGAAAAAACTACTGTAAAGTTCATATGGAACCAAAAAAGAGCCCGCATCACCAAGTCAATCCTAAGCCAAAAGAACAAAGCTGGAGGCATCACGCTACCTGATTTCAAACTATACTACAAGGCTACAGTAACCAAAACAGCCTGATACTGGTACCAAAACAGAGATATAGACCAATGGAACAGAACAGAGCCCTCAGAAATAATGCCGCGTATCTACAACTATCTGATCTTTGACAAACCTGACAAAAGCAAGCAATGGGGAAAGGATTCCCTATTTAATAAATGGTGCTGGGAAAACTGGCTAGCCATATGTAGAAAGCTGAAACTGGATCCCTTCCTTACACCTTATACAAAAATTAATTCAAGATGGATTAAAGACTTACATGTTAGACCTAAAACCATAAAAACCCTAGAAGAAAACCTAGGCAATACCATTCAGGACACAGGCATGGGCAAGGACTTCATGTCTAAAACACCAAAAGCAATGGCAACAAAAGCCAAAATTGACAAATGGGATCTAATTAAACTAAAGAGCTTCTGCACAGCAAAAGAAACTACCATCAGAGTGAACAGGCAACCTACAGAATGGGAGAAAATTTTTGCAACCTACTCATCTGACAAAGGGCTAATATCCAGAATCTACAATGAACTCAAACAAATTTACAAGAAAAAAACAAACAACCCCATCAAAAAGTGGGCAAAGGATATGAACAGACACTTCTCAAAAGAAGACATTTATGCAGCCAAAAAACACATGAAAAAATGCTCATCATCACTGGCCATCAGAGAAATGCAAATCAAAACCACAATGAGATACCATCTCACACCAGTTAGAATGGCAATCATTAAAAAGTCATGAAACAACAGGTGTTGGAGAGGATGTGGAGAAATAGGAACACTTTTACACTGTTGGTGGGACTGTAAACTAGTTCAACCATTGTGGAAGTCAGTGTGGCGATTCCTCAGGGATCTAGAATTAGAAATACCATTTGACCCAGCCATCCCATTACTGGGTATATACCTGAAGGATTATAAATCATGCTGCTATAAAGACACATGTACACGTATGTTTATAGCGGCACTATTCACAATAGCAAAGACTTGGAACCAACCTAAATGTCCAACAACGATAGTCTGGATTAAGAAAATGTGGCACATATACACCATGGAATACTATGCAGCCATAAAAAATGATGAGATCATGTCCTTTGTAGGGACATGGATGAAATTGGAAACCATCATTCTCAGCAAACTATCCCAAGGACAAAAAACCAAACACCACATGTTCTCACTCATAGGTGGGAATTGAACAATGAGAACACATGGACACAGGAAGGGGAGCATCACACACCAGGAATGTTGTGGGGTTGGGGGAGGGGGGACGGGGGAGGGATAGCATTAGGAGATATACCTAATGCTAAATGACGAGTTAATGGGTGCAGCACACCAACATGGCACATGTGTACATATGTAACAAACCTGCACGTTGTGCACATGTACCCTAAAACTTAAAGTATAATAATAATAAAATAAAAAAGATATATAGATATATATAAATTTATCTATCTATATATAGATATAGATAGAGATATATATAGAGATAGATATATAAAATATTTTATAGTATTGAGTGCTTGATTTTCATAGTAAAGAACCACATTAATACTGATGCTCAATCTGTCTCAGATGTCATAACTGAAGGTTCAAAAAAACTGACCCTGTAACATCCCAAACACTGAAATCATAGACTATGCTAGTTGTATTTTCAGTTTGGAAGATAAATACATAATTCTAGAAATCAAAATTTAAAATCAGAACTTCATACCTTGTGCAAGCATGTTAAATTCCAAGAACGGTGCTGTGTGGTAAAGTTCCATGGCTTTTCCTGCCCTGGTCATGTTTGGCTTCCCTGCGACGAGAGCCTGAACTTCACTGAGACTCCCCACAGAGGGGCTACAGTGCCAAACAGAGAGGTCCACCGCGTCGGTATACATACAGTGTAATATCACTTTTGCATATTTTTGTGGTATAATGGACTCATCTAATATAATTCTTGTGGGAGTCCTCAAAGTTCCATCTGTGATTTCTTCAACAGTTGGTATTCTCCTTTGTAATAAATTTTGAAAAAATGGGGACCGTGCAGAAATAACAGCCTTGTGGGCTTTGAGCTCTTCATCTAAACAGTTCTGATGTCCACCAAAAGCTTCAACCAGTTCAGAGTCTGAAGAAAAGCTAAGGACGACATCGTAATAACACATGTAATCAAAGAGTCCACGCATATCTACATCAAGGGAATTCTTCACTAAGCTGAACAAGGATAACGACATTTTGAAACCCTGAGTCTTCCATTCCAAACTCTCCTGTATAAAGATAGTATAACAAAGCAGAAAACATGGGCATATCAATACCAGCTGTATTGATGTCCATTATTATCTCTGCCCCATACTCAGGTGAGGAAGAAAGCATTTAAAAAATGGACACCTTGCTGCCAAAATGGCACGATGAACAGGATAACAAGTTTCTTGAAATATGAAATCTGTATCAGTACGATACTTGTACTCATAAAGATCAGCCATATCTTTCTGCAATGTCCGGGCTTCCGGTCTAGCCAAACTGGCTTGTAGGGAAAGCTTCTTTAATGCTGACCTTCCCTCATATTCCTCCGCTAATGCATTGACATCTCTAATATCCCACCCAGAGAGGAGTTCTCGCATCTGCTTGGCATGATCGGCAGACCTATCAGATTTTCGAGGCTTAATTAAGTTCTTTTTGAAGGTAGCAGGGCCAGAGGTCTTTTTTTTTTTTTTTTTTTTTTTTTTTTTTTGAGACAGTCTGGCTTTGTCGCCCAGGCTGGAGTGCAGTGGCTCGATCTCGGCTCACTGCAAGCTCTGCCTCCCAGGTTCCCGCCATTCTCCTGCCTCAGCCTCCCGAGTAGCTGGGACTACAGGCGCCCGCCACCACGCCCGGCTAATTTTTTGTATTTTTTAGTAGAGACAGGGTTTCACCATATTAGCCAGGATGGTCTCGATCTCCTGACGTCGTGATCCGCCCGTCTCGGCCTCCCAAAGTGCTGGGATTACAGGCGTGAGCCACCGTGCCCGGCCTCTTTTTTTTGTCTTGTGGTTTCTCATGGCCATGGTCAAGGCTATACAATTTTGATTCACAACCATAGCCTTGCTGAGAATAGGATGACGTCCCTATAAAAGTCTGTTGGGCCTGTGAATTTCCCCCTACCTTCGCGGAACATGGATGAGGATAATGAGATGCATTAGCACCCATTTTCTTCAGTCATTCAGGCATTCCGTCTGCGGGTTCTTCAGAGTATAATCCTAGAGGCCATTAGGAACCTTCAACCCTGGATCCAGCAGCCTCTTTCCATCTATTTCTATGAGAACAGGGCCATTAGACCTTACTTTAGTGCATACTATTGAAGTATGAAAGGCTGTGGGCAGCCAGACACACGGACAGTGCATTCTGTAAGAACCACACAGCAAGCATCCTCAAGTGTTTACTATACAGTCTGCCCTTCGTATTCCGTAGGTTCCTCATCCACAGTTCAATCGACCTGGAGGCTCCTCCCGCCGCCGCTGCTGCTGCTGCCGCAGGGACCTCGGCCGTCGCCCCCGCCGCCTCCGCCACCAGCACCGCGGCAGGCACCGGCGCCAGCACACCGCCGCCATCCTCCTCCCACCGCCGCCGCCGCCCTCTCCTCTCCTGTCAGTGGCTCAGGCTCCGGGACTGCTCCAGTTTTCCCTCGCCGCCATTTTGATTCCTAGAGGGAGCAGGAAGGGCTCGGCTTGGACTTTTTGTGTTTTTTTTTGTTTTTTGTTTTTTTGAGGCGGAGTTTTGCTCTTGTTGCCTAGGCTGGAGTGCAGTGGCCGATCTCGGCCCACTGCAACCTCCGTCTTCCGGGTTCAAGCGATTCTACTGCCTCAGCCTCCCGCGTAGCTGGGATTACAAGCATGCGCCAATACTTCCGGTTCATTTTTGCATTTTTTTTAGTAGAGATGAGGTTTCACCATGTTGGCCAGACTGGTCTCGAACTCCTGACCTCAGGTGATCTGCCAGCTTCGGCCTCCCAAAGTCCTGGGATTACAGACATGAGCCACCGTGCCCGGCCCACTTTTAATACATTAAAGGGGTCTGTGATAAACATCCTCCTACCGCCCAAAAAAGGTTAAGGACCACTGCAATATGGGCTGTTTGCTTTAGATTTCATTTTAGATAGATGTTGATAACTGTCAGAGCTGTTCTTTTTTGGCCTTCGTTTGTATTCTAAGGAGAGTCCAGGCCTCTCCTTAGAACCCCAGATCTGGAGATCAAGCTGGCTACCGTGCCTTTCTTAATCAGCATCTCTCATACATCTCATTCTGAAATAGAAAACTAAATCTATCTTCTCCCCTAAACCTGTTCCGTTCTTCCTATGTCTCCTACTTCAGTGCACAACCTCAAAAACGACCCTATTGTATAAATCAGAAACCTAACAGTCATCCTAAACCTGTCTCCCCATCCCCTCTCTGCTTCCTTCTCGCTAATATCTCCACATTCAATGGATGTTTTAAAAATATAAACTCAAGATTTTATTGTCTTCATAATAAAAGAAAACATGACACTTAGAACTGGATCACTTGGCCGTTTCTCTTCTTACCTCCTCCCAGTTCAAAATGCTAGCATATTTTAATAGCCAGCACTCTCTTAGAGCTGCAGCTGGGCTCAACGCACTCAAGCCTTGGCACAATTTTCTGTAGTTTTAGCCCTTTCCTGGAAAATCGGCTTAATTTGCCCACGATAGCCACTCTGCTTCCTGTCATAACGCCGCTTTCCCTGGGCATACAGAGAATCCTTCTCCTTCGTGTACAGTGTCACTTTGTGGGGTTGGTGCTTGCCACACTTCTTATAGAAAGTCTGGCGGGTTTTAGGAAACTTCGTAATGTTTGTGTGAGCGCTATCGGCACGGAAAAGCCACATTCAATGGATTTTAAAAAATCTATTTGCCTAATTGTTTCTCAAAATCACCTCCACTTCTTTTCTCAAAGTCACCACTATACTAATTCCAATAAAAAGTGCTTGATTCTTCACTTAAGGAAGGTTTGCGGGCTTAGGTTGGTTCTGTTTCTGACTCCTTGCCCGGAACTGGATGCAAAGAGGACCTGGAAAGTGAAGGTGAAGAAAAGAACTTCAGAGTACTGATCAGAATTAGTCAAGGAATTTCTGCATAATGGCTAAGAATAAATCTATGACGAATCTTTTTTTTTTAATAACTAGATGTAGTGATGCATTTATTTATTTATTTATTTATTTATTTATTTATTTATTTAGACAGAGTCTGGCTCTGTCGCCAGGCTGGAGTGCAGTGGCGAGATCTCGGCTCATCACTGCAATCGCCACCTCCCAGGTTCAAGCGATTCTCCGCCTCAGCCTCCCAAGTAGCTGGGATTACAGACGCGCACCACTACGCCCAGCTAATTTTTGTGTTGTGTGTGTTTTTAGTAGAGATGGGGTTTCACCATGTTGGCCAGGCTGGTCTCGAACTCCTAACCTCGTGATCCACCCACCTCGGCCTCCCAAAGTGCTGGGATTACAGGGGTGAGCCACCGTGCCCGGCCTTAGTGCCGTATGTTTAAAAGTACGCATTTAAACATACTTTTTCAATTTGATTACTAGAGTTCCTCCATTACTATGAATTTTTAACACTAGCAGCTCTCAGAAATGGTTGTATTCCTATTCCTGAGCCAATATAGGTTTAAGTAATAGGGCTGAGCTCATAAATGGAGCAGTAATATTCCATTAGGACACAGAAAAAAGTCAACGTAGATGGCATCAGGACTGTTTATCTTCAGTCTTCCTAAAGTCGATTTTAATTGTTCTGAAAATGAAAGTACGTAGTGGATAGAGATAGGATCTTATACCAAAGGGATTATTAGTGGGGGAACTGCAGTGCCTGAACAGTGTCTGCAAGGAGGAAAAGGGGGGAAAGACTTAAAGTGGCCATTTGGTCCATCAAAGTCTCTTCTGCTATCAATCCCTTGAAATTATGTAAAAGCTAAATGTTATTCTGCATTTAGAAACTATGTTCTTAGTATTATGTACAAACACTATTTTTTAGAATGTAAATACATAAAGAGGCCTGAATTTTACTGAAAAAAAAATCTGTGAAAGATATGGTCTGCTGATAAGTTCTCTTCAGCCCTGACGCCCCTTAGAAGTCCCAAAATCTATGGAACAGGAATTACTCGGGAAATGGTGGTTTCAGTGTAAAAGATGTCATCTACCCTTTCCCTCACTGCACAGATGGTGAAGGGGAAACTCAGAGAGATAAGTCACTTCCCCAAGGTCAGACAGGGTAAAAGTGGACCGGATCTGTTTGGTCCTGAGCCCAAACATTTCGAATGGACATAAGGCTGACAAAGGAACAGTCGGTCCCAGAGCGTCAGGAGTTGAGGTGGGATGGGACCGCAGGGAAAATACTGGGTGGGATGACTTAAACTTCCCGGCACCAGGGGGCGCCAGACACTCTATTTTACCTAAAGGAGACTGGCTTCTACCGACAGGAAGGTCCCTTGCCCCCAACAAAGAGGGCGTCCAATGACGTAAACCAATCCGATTGCTCTGTGCCAGGGCCGGGATTCGCTGGCGTAGCCAGTCAGTGCTGCCCCACAGCCGCGTGCGTCTGACGTCAAGGCAGGGGCGGGATCCGGTTGGAATTTTGGCGGGTTCAGCTGTGAACGAAGAAGGCGTCCCGGCATCGGGTGAGGAGCGCGGGCCCCGGGCGTGCGTGTGACCCTCGGGCGGCGGGGCCGGGGCCGCCTCGCACGTCTCTGCGCGGGTTGCAAGGGGTCCGAGGCTAGAGGCGCGGGGTCCCGGGAGCTCGGGTGGGCGCGATCTGGATTTGGCGGCAGCTTGGGACCGCTCGGAGCTGGCATGGCCGGGCCGGGGGCTGGGAGTTGCTGGCCGTCTACTAAGGAATCGGGTTCTTCCTTTTAAACGCAGCCTTTTAAGTGCTTGCCAAGTGCCTGCCGCCTGGGCTTTCTTTTATTCATTCATTCATTCATTCATTCATTGGTTTCTCGTATTCATGATTTGCCAATGATTATTGAATGCGGACGGTGTGCATGGCTCGGATCACATTTCCGCTGCCTTCACAGCGCTTACAGTTTAAAGGCACGAGCAGGTAGTAAACAAATGCACGACAGTGGACGACTCAGGGTGGTCCAGAAAGTCTCAGAAAGATGAGTAAGTGGAGACCGAAGGGCGAGAAGGACCTGGGGGGAGCTTTCTTCGACAGAGCCTGAGACCTCAAAGCAGCTTAGTGTGTTCCAGAAGGTGGAAGCGGGCTGGCCCGGCTGGAGCATCGTTATGGGTGTCGGGGTGGGTAGAATTGGACGTGGTGGATTGTGGAAAATGTGAGGGAGTAGAAAGCTTGGAAAGAGAGAGAGAATATGAATCATTGCCTCGCAGGCTTTGTAGATTTTTTCTAAGGGCAATGGAAAATCATTAAAGAATTTCAATGAAGGGACCCCCATGATCTGATTTATGTTCCTAAAGGTTACTAAGGAAAGGGAAGATTACCGTGGCTGTCGTATGCAGAACAGATTGCACGGGGACAAAGAGACCAACATAGAAAGCTAACACAGTCATTGGGTTAAAGGTTGACGGTGGCTTGGCCTAGGGTTCTGGCAGTGAAGTTGGAGAGAAGTGGCAGATTTGAGCAGTGTTTTGGAGATGGGACCACAGTACTTGTCAGTGGCCGTGGATTTGAGGGCGAGGGAGGGTGCACAGTTTCATTTTGGGGGAAGGCAAGGCCGGTTACAGACTTGAACGAGACAGTTTGCTCCTAACGCTCAGGAAGCTTACTGTCCAATAGGTTCCCCAGTAGATAGCACAGTGTGTGGCACATGAGGGATCCGTGGAAATGTTGGTTGAATGAATTTTTAAAAAGCGGCCAGGCGCGGTGGCTCACGCCTGTAATCCCAGCGCTTTGGGAGGCCAAGGCGGACGGATCACCAGGTCAGGAGATCGAGACCATCCTGGCTAATACGGTGAAACCCCATCTCTACTAAAAATACAAAAAATTAGCCGGGCGTGGTGGCGGGCGCCTGTAGTCCCAGCTACTCGGGAGGCTGAGGCAGGAGAATGGCGTGAACCCGGGAGGCGGAGCTTGCAGTGAGCCAAGATCGCCCCATTGCACTCCAGCCTGGGTGACAGAGACTCCGTCTCAAAAAAAAAAAAAAGCACCTTTGGGAGTCCAAGGCTGATGGATCACTTGACATCAGGAGTTCAAGACCAGCCTGGGCAACATGGCGAAACCCTGTCTCTACAAAAAACACAAAAATTAGCCGGGTGTGGTAGTGCACGTTTGTAATCCCAGCTACTTGGGAGGCTGGGGCAGGAGAATCACTGGAGCCTGGGAGGCGGAGGTTGTAGTGAGCCAATAGCACCACTGCACTCCAGCCCCAGCGACAGAGCGAGATCCTGTCTAAAAAAAGAAAAGAAAGTACCATAATCACTGTAATTAGTTCCTTGACATTGAACTTGCCAAAGAGCACATGTAAGTTAAATAAGAGCCTAGAAAAATGTATACTTTCTTACTTGCAGTTTAAAAAATAACCTTAAATGAAAAGAGAAGTGCACAAAGTGATACAACTTTGTCTTAATTAGCTACGCTGTTTCTCTGTGCTTTGCTGACTAGTATTGAATCAAAATCCTGATTGTCACTAAGGCTCCACCTAAGTAGAATCATACAGTAAGCTGTCGTGGATAACGCAGATGTCAGGTGTATTACAGTGAATAAAATGAAAGAATAGCCTAATGTAGATCGACCCCAATAATTTGTGTGTGTGTGTGTGTAATTTTTAAAAAAGACAAGGTCTTGCTATGTGACCAGGCTGGTCTCAAACTTCTGGCCTCAAGTGATGCGCCCACCTTAGCTTCCCAAAGTGCTGGTATTACAGGCGTTGAGCCACTGTACCTAGCCAACCCCAATAGTTCTTCCTCATAATTTATCTCATCCACGTAATCTAGTGTGATTTACAAACTGCTCTGCAGCTCAATAACTTTCTGTAACCTTAAACACAAGTAAAAGTGAGCTGCTACATCCAAGGAAGGAGATGGCATTGGCGGTGTGGAGAGAGGAGGTGAGAAATGGTCAGATTCTGGATGAATTCTGAGGTTAGAGCCCATAGGAGTGGTAGGATTCTGGGTTTGTTGGATGTGTGTTGTGAGAGAAAGAGAAGAATTGAAAGTGACATTTCTAATATTGCTTTCACACAGCCAAGATTCTACATTGCTCATCTGGGCATCTGAGCCTCCTTCGAAGTTTCCTGTCACAACTGTCCTCTTGACAGCATGGATGGTAAGACCTGGCAGTTTTCTGTTACTCTGTTTCAAGGAAAACTAACCTTTTGTCCATGGACTTGTTATTTATTCTACCTGTAAAATGGTGAAAATGCTCCCCAGCCCTCAGGTATTGTCTTAGTGGTTCTGAAGCAATCTCACATCTCACAGAGGTCACTGAATGTTACTTGCTTTTATCAGGGGAGATTTCTTCTGGCAACAGAGATTGTCTTTCATAATTACAATAGCTGGTAGGTGTACAGTGGGCCAGGCACTGCTCCAAGATCCTTGTGGAAATTAACTGATTCAGTCCTCAGGCAAACGTATTTTATAGGCAGAAAAACAGGGATGTTTAGTAACTTGTCACAGTTCAAGCTGGCATAGCAGGGCTTTGAACCAGGCAGTCTGACTTCAGAGTTTACATTTGATAATGAAATCTGCTGAAGCGATATTAGTCTAGCTCTGACTTAAGTTTTTATTAATATCATCCTTTCTAATTTTGTTCATTTTGCAAGGATGTGTACAAAATGTTTACCTAGAAAAGAGATGTTGCACTAATTAGCGATCACCTAAAATGATTGTGCTGGGCTGGACGCAGTGGCTCACGCCTGTGATCTCAACACTTTGGGAGGCCGGGGTGGGAGGATTGCTTGAGCCCAAGAGTTCAAGACCAGCCTGGGCAATAGAGTGAGACCTCATTTCTATTTTTAAAAAATTAAAATGATTGTGCTGGTTGTGAAGAGATCTAGTTGCATAATTGAACTCATAATCTGAAACTGGGTTTTTTTAAAAAATTCAAACATATTACACTTTGCCCTTTAAAACAAAACTTGAAATTCCTCACACTGTGATGCACAGTGGACCCCCGTTGTCCCTGAGAGATGTGTTTCCACACTCCCAGCAGATGCCTGAAACCCAGGATGGTACCAAACCCTAGGCATGCTGTGTTTTTTCCTGTACATACATACGTGTGATAAAGTATAATTTATGAATTAGGCACAGTGAGAGATGAACAACAATAATAAAATGGAACAATTATGACAATATACTGTAATAAAAGTTATGTGAATGTGGTCTCTCTCTAAAGTATCTATTGCACTCTCAAAATATCCATTGTACTGTCCTCAACCACAGTGACCATGGAAAATCAAAACCACAGAAAATAAACCCTCAGATAAGGGGTTATTCCTTATGTGAAACTCATTGCCTGATGCTATCATGGTAGTTTCCTGTTTCTTAAAATTGGCAAATTGCCTACAGGGCAGGTTATATAATACAAAGCATCACTTTTTGCTATCAGATTGACATGAAAATAAGAGGTGAATGGATACCTGTTCTCTAAGAAATCATAGTATCTATCTGGAAACAGTATAGGTCAAGAAAGAAGAAATCATAATGTTTAGGCTGGGTGCGGTGGCTCATGCCTGTAATCCCAGCACTTTGGGAGGCCAAGGTGGGTGGATCACCTGAGGTCAGGAGTTCGAGGCCAGCCCGGCTAACATAGTGAAACCCCATTTCTACTAAAACTACAAAAATTAACCTGGTGTGGTGGCATGTGACTGTAATCCCAGCTACTCAGGAGGCTGAGGCTGGAGGATCACTTGAATCTGGGAGGCAGAGGTTGCATTGCATCGAGATCCCACTACTGCACCTCCAGCCTGGGTGACAGAGCAAGACTCCATCTGAAAAAAAAAAAAAAAAAGAGGAAAAAGAAATCATAATATTTAGTAAGAAAATCTCATTTGATTGGCATGGGTTCACAATTTGGCCGGTGTAGAGGAAATCGGAGACTGTATGGTACTTGGGATATACTGTTGAACAATGTTCCTGCTTATATTTTAGTGGAGGGAGAAAGATAACAAAACAATAAACGGGTAGTTAGTAGATGGGAGACACTGCTATGTCTTTGTATGCTGACAGGAGTGCTTCAGAGGAGAGGGAGAAACTGGGGATTCAGGAGCCAGAGAGGTGGTAATTGTAGAATGAAGTCTTTGAGAAGCTGAGAAGTGGGACCCAATGTAAGAATGTAAGTGGAAGAATTGGCTGTGAATAGCACTAGATACTTAGTCCCAGGAGGGAAAGCAGAGAAGATACGTTCAGAGTTGGGAGTGAAGGATGAGGAAGTCTGATTACATCTATTTTTTCTGTAAAATATAAGCCAAGGGCTGGGCGCTGTGGCTCACGCCTGTAATCCCAGCACGTTGAAAGGCCAAGGCAGGTGGATCACCTGAGGTCAGGAGTTCGAGACCAGCCTGACCAACATGGAGAAACCCCATCTCTACTGAAAATACAAAATTAGCTGGGCGTGGTGGCACATGCCTGTAATCCCAGCTACTCGGGAGGCTGAGGCAGGAGAATCACTTGAACCTGGGAGGTGAAGGTTGCAGTGAGCCGAGATCGTGCCATTGCACTCCAGCCTGGGCAACAAGAGCAAAACTCTGTCTCAAAAAAAAAAAAAAATACATACATACATATATATATATATATATATATATATATCATCAGCTAAGAGTAAAGAGTGGGGAGTGGGCATAGGAGGTTTGAGGAGAGACAGTGTGAAGTGGTCAGAGCCTGGGAAAGCGAATGAATTGAGGAAGTGTGGGAATCTTTAAGCAGTGCTGAATGCTTGTTTGTTATGGGTGTGCAAAAATTTAAAGTTAGACTGAGGCAGGGTCTTGTTGATCATACCTGTAGTCCCAGCACTTTAGGAAGCCAAGGCAGGAGCATCGCTTGAGGCCAGGAGTTCAAGACGAGACTGGGCAACATGGCAAGACCCCATTTCTACAAAAAAATATTTAATAAGCTGGGCATGGTGGTGTGCACCTCTAGTCCCTGCTGCTTGGGAGGCTAAGGCAAGAGGATCGCTTGAGCCCAGGAGTTTGAGGCTATAGTGAGCTAAGATTGCAACACTGCACTCCAGCCTGTGTGACCCTGTCTTGAAAAATAAATAAATAAATAAACAAACAAAAAAGACCAGTCAGCATGGTAGCGAGTCTTTCTCCAGGACCATTCACCAGCCAGGGAGCTGAGTCTTTAGAAGGCAGTGAGTGATGATGGTGTTGAACATGGATCCACAGGGAGGGCATTAGGGGCAGGGGGTGATGGACAGGAAACACATTGTAGGTAGGCTGATGGGTTAGACATGTGGATGAAGCTGAAGAGCTGCTGGATGTGAATACTAGAGTGAGCGGGCTGAAAGGATGGGAGGTTGGATCACAGAGGGACGTTCAGAGGTCAGTTGTGCTTTGCTGTGATGAGTTGGAGTTACTATGGGAGTGGGTAGCTAAGATGGGGAGTGGATGAGAAACCCAGCGACCAAGATGTTGGCTGGATCATCCTTGCGGAGGTTGAAGTGCCCCAGGAGGGTGATAACAGTAGAGATGGAGGGGAGGACCGGGGGGGGCATGCATGATACACATATGATGATCAGCACATGACAGTGCCATGAGGGGTTCTTGATGCCAGCGTCTGGTGTCTTGAACTTCAGAGAGCTGTGATCTGGAAAAAGACTGAATCATTCCAAAGTGACAGTGATAAAGAAGACATCAGGAACCTGAAGTTGATCAACAAGTATTTGTTGCATGCCTAATACGTGCCGAACACTATTCTAGACATTGCCATGTGAGGTGTGAACAATTAAATGCTTTCCATTCAAGAGGCTTCCAGGGGTAGCCAGATTTCTGTTGTAAGAGCCACTGGGGATCCGAGAAACGTGCTGATAGTAGATTTCACATCCCAGGGGTTTGAGAACAAAGAGGCTGGGAGATTGAGTCAGCGTAATACAGAGAAGACATGATTTTTGGTGGTGACTGAGGTAAACGGGGTTGTGAGGCACCATGGGATTAGCCCTCGTTCTCTTGTGAAGGGTTCAAAGTGAATAGTATGGGGTCCCCAGGCAGCATTTTCCACCTGTGGCCCCCAGTGGTGTGAGCCAGAGCCTCTTCCCGGGGTGTGCCCTCTTTGGCAGACGGGAACAAGAGATGGTGGAGGCCTCTTTGCTTCCTTGCAGGCATGTGACATTCTCAGAGCACAGGGGGCTGCCTGGCCTCTTCTCTCTTGCACTGTGCAGCCTTGGAGTCTTTGTGGACTAAGCAACTCAAGCTAATCCTTATACAACCTCTGACTGAGCATTAGGCCCCATCATCAGATTCTAGGCCTGAAGTTTGGCTACTGGCTTTTTCCTTCTGGTAAGGGAGTGTAGAGTGGTGGAAAGGATATTGGTTTGCTGATCTAGAGATTCCTTATTAACCCAGCTCCTGAACTGATCTGTTTCTCCATGTGATCCTGAACAAGCCCCTCACCCTCTCATACTCTAGCCCCTGAATTTCAGACAAGGAGAGTAGGTCAGATATCCTTAATATTTTTCCATTGAATACCTCTGATTTTATAAACAAATAGTGCCCAAATAGGGGGGAAAAAAGAGCAAAGAAAATAGATAAATCAAGAAAGAAGAAATCCGATTGGCAAATAAACAAACAATTCTTAACCTCACCAGTAATCCAAGAAATGCAAATCAAAACAGTGAGATGCCTTTTTAAATCGTCCATCAGATTGACAAAAAAATATTTAAGTGACACATCAGATATTGATGAGGTGGTGGGGAGAAGTGGCCCTTGTGTACAGCTCTAGTGAGAGTGATACAGATGATAGCAATTATTTAGGGAGATAGTAAGGGCAACAGAGTCCTCAGCAGAATTTCCCTTTTAGCAAAAAGCAGCCCCCAAGTAATTTCTAACAAGGCCAGCCAGAAAAATCAAGCGGACATAGAAAAGCAAGCTAGTAATTTGCACGGATGAATACCTGCAGCTGTGCCAATAGGAAAAGGCTCCCTGGGGGCCAGGCGTGTTCAACATGGCGGCCCTTTTTCTGTGTCAACCACGTGTACAGTAAAGAAACAGACAATATGGCGCTGGCCAGGTAGAGAACCACCTGCATAATAAAAGATTAGGGTGGGGCAGCCAGGTTTTCCACCCTATGCAAATGGCATACCTAGTCCAGCCAATCTTTTATGTCCTGTGTAAATCAGACATTGCGTCCTCAAGCTCGTCTATGAAACCCCATGCATTTTGCCATGGACGCGGCAACCCATTTCTCTGGGACCTCTCTGCTGCCGAGAGCTCTTCTCTTTCTTTTGCCTATTAAATCTCTGCACTTAACCTCACTCCTTGTGTGTCAGCATCCTTGATTTCCTTTGCATGAGACAACGAACCTCAGGTATTACCCCAGACGAACTATGCCATTTCAAGAGTGCATCCACTTTGAGAACAATTTGGCAGCATCTAGCAAAATTGGAAAACGTGGATACCCAGCAATCCAGCAATTCCATTTCTGATAGATATTCCCAAGAAACACATGTGCGAGAAGACGGATACACGATTACAGCGTATTTAGTAGTGGGGAAAAATTAGAAATAGCCCATATTGTCCTTTATTGGAAAATGGATTAATGAGGTGTGATACAGTCTTATTATAGGATACAATATAGCAACGAAAAGAAAGAAACTAGAACTATATGGGGTTTTTTGTTTGTTTTTGAGATGGAGTCTCGCCCTGTCACCCAGGCTGGAGTGCAGTGGTGCGATCTCGGCTCACTGCAACCTCCACCTCCCAGGTTCCATCAATTCTTCTGCCTCAGCCTCCTGAATAGCTGGGATTACAGGCACGGGCCACCACGCCCAGCTAATTTTTGTATTATTAGTAGAGACGGGGTTTCACTTTCTTGGCCAGGCTGGTCTTGAGCTCCTGATGTCAGGTGATCCTCCTGCCTTGGCCTCCCCAAGTGCTGGGATTACAGGCGTGAGCCACCACGCCTGGCTAGAACTATATGTTTTGATTTGGGTTAATCTTACAAGCAATGTTGAATGAACCTGGAATGCAGAGTAATGCAGTGTGGAATATTTATGTAAATATTTTTAAAACCATCTAATATAGATTGACTATGACTGCCTATATATTTATGTAAAAGCATAAGAATGGACTGGAATGATGCCTCAAAATTATGAAAGTGATTACAATGGGAAGTGGGGGCAGTGGTCAGGAGTTGGGATAAGATTTGGCATGACAGACTTCATCTGGAAGGTGTTATTTAATGTTAAAGGCAAGAAGCAAACAACAAAATGTTAATGATGGCTAATTCTGGGTGATGGGATCTTAGTATTTTTTATATAGTTTGTATCTTTTTTTTTTTAAATCTCAAATAATTTGAAGGTCAGGAATTATATACATCTAAAGCCTAAATCTATGTTTGGTGTTTTAAAATTATTCCCTTGTTGGTTGAATTTCATGGAAGTCGGTGTGCGGGAAGCTGTCTCATTGATTGGAGTAGAATGCTTGAGGACATTTGGCCCCGTGGCTGGCCCACTCTACTCACTAAGCAGTATTGGCTCCTTCTTAGCCCAGTGTCCCCTAAGAAGCACCTGGGGACAAGAAAGATGGAGACAAGGAGAACAAAGACCAGGCAAAATGGTGCATCTGTAGGTTTTTGTTTTTTTTGTTTGTTTGTTTGTTTGTTTTTTTAGTTTCAGCTTTCATTTTAGATTCAGGCTTGTTACAGAGATGTATATATAGTGTGATGCTGAGGTTTGGAGTATGGTTGAACCCATCACCCAGGTAATGAGCATTGTACCCATTAGGTAGTTTCTCTTACCCCCATGGGGTCATTTAAATTGCCTAAAGTTGAATGTTTGGAATTAGCCGTGCTTATTCTCTGTCCTTTCTCTTCTTTTCCCCTAGAGGAGGAAGACAATCTGTCTCTGCTGACCGCACTGCTGGAAGAAAATGAGTCAGCCTTGGATTGTAATTCAGAAGAAAATAACTTCTTGACGCGGGAAAATGGCGAGCCCGACGCATTTGATGAGCTCTTTGATGCCGACGGCGACGGTGAATCTTATACAGAAGAGGCTGATGATGGAGAAACAGGAGAGACAAGAGACGAAAAGGAAAATCTGGCCACTCTCTTTGGAGATATGGAGGACTTAACAGATGAAGAAGAAGTTCCCGCATCACAGTCAACTGAAAATAGGGTCCTCCCTGCTCCTGCCCCCAGGCGAGAGAAAACGAATGAAGAGTTGCAAGGTGCCCTAACTACTTGCCTTCCTTATTTCTTTCGGATAAGTTGGATGAAGACCACCAATCTGATAGTTGTCATCAAAATAGCTGCTGATTCAAGGGTAGAGATAAATGACTTTGTAAAAAAAGAAAAAAAGAAAGAAAATTATATGAGTTGGTAGATGAAATGTTTGGGCCAGCATTTCAGCACAAACTATAGACTCTATCAGTGTCAGCCAGCTGCACTTGATCCTGTACGGAATGGCTCTGAAACTTTTCATATTTCTTATGGAATAGTAGCACTTTGGGATGTATGTGGATGTGGAGCCAGAGACAAGGTTGCAAAGCTGCCACATATCTATTTGAGCAGAGCATTCCTGAACAGAAGCTTTGACACATGTTCTTTTCTCATTCCTGGCATCTCATACATGTTTAAGCTATAGTAAAATTCAATGGTTAGCTGTTTCTTCTAATACAGAAGCCAGCATTTATTATATTAGTTATGATATCCAATTTATGAAGTAAATATAATTTTTTTTTTTTTCCGAGACAGATTCTTGCTGTGTCACCCAGGCTGGAGTACAGTGGTGCAATCTTGGCTCACTGTAGCCTCCACCTCCCAGGCTCAAGTGATCTTCCTGCCACAGCCTCCCTAGTAGCTGGAACCATAGGCATGCACCACCATGCCCAGCTAATTTTTTTTATTTTTTTTATTTTTTGTAGATACAGGATCTCCCTATGTTGCCCATGCTGGTCTCGAACTGCTGGGCTCTTGCGTCCTCCTGCCTCAGCCTCCCAAAATGCTGTGATTACAGGCACGAGCCACCATGCCTGGCCTATAATTATTTCTCAACTCCTAAAAACTTGTTAACTGTGGATTTTATTTGATATCTCTTAATAGTAAAGATTTATAACTAGTTTGATTATTGGGTGCTTCGTTTACTTTAAATAAAATATGTATTTCTCTAAGAGACCTCTTTGAAGTACCAAAGTTAATCATGAGCTTTGGGTATGTGATTATATTGTGGGTCTCAAGGTATTGGGGCAGGGAGTGGACAACAAAAATATTGCCCGCATTTTTGTCATGTAGAACGTTTTCTCCTGCCTGGTTCTTAAATTAACATATTTTCATTTCCTAGAGGAATTAAGGAATTTGCAAGAGCAAATGAAGGCCTTACAAGAGCAGCTAAAAGTAACAACAATTAAACAGACAGCAAGCCCAGCCCGTCTGCAAAAATCCCCTGGTAAGAAGACTGTCATTCTGGCAATCGTGTGCATTTATTTTATTAGAAATTATCACATCATTTCTGCATCCAACTCCTGTCCAAACAGCCCTTTGAACCTCTTTCTGAATGGGTTTTTACTCACTTATTTTACTTTTGATTAAGTAGAGAAGTCTCCCCGGCCACCTCTTAAGGAGAGGAGAGTTCAGAGAATTCAGGAGTCAACATGCTTTTCTGCGGAGCTTGATGTCCCTGCGCTACCAAGAACCAAGAGGGTGGCTCGAACACCAAAGGCTTCACCTCCAGGTGTAGTACTTGCGGTCTCAGTATCTTGGCACTATTGTATGTGTTTATGTGTGTGGGGGTGTTCATGTGTGTGTGGGTGTCTGTGTCTTTTGGTCTGTCTTATGTCCCCATTGAGAAAGAAAGTTTCTTGGGAATGGAAGCCACATGATATATTTTGTGTTCTTCGTCTACATCTCAAAGTGCCTAGAAAATCCTTAGGGCCAAGGCACGCGGCAGGAAGATTGCTTGATCCTAGGAGTTTGAGGCCAGGCTGGGTAGTATAGCAAGACCCTATCTCTACAGTAATAAAATTAGCCAGGTGTGTTGCTTGCCTGTAGTCTCAGCTACCTGAGAGGCTGAGGTGGGAGGATCATTTGAGCTCAGGAGGTTGAGGCTAGAGTGAGCTGTCATCACACCACTGCACTCCATCCTGTTCCAGAGTAAGACCCTGTCTGAGAAAAGGAAAATCCTTAGGTACAGAGTAGCTATTTACTAAGTACTTAACAGGTTGAATTTTTTTTTTTAGCTCTGTAGTCTCATAGTTTTACCTGGACTGTAGTAAGTAAAGCCACTGGTTAGGTTCTCATGCTTTAGACTTGTGAGGTTATTCCCTTAGAAAATGGTCAAGTTTTATTTGAAGCCAGGTCGTATCAAATCAAAAGGGCTGTTTTCTGGAAAAGACTTCTTTGCCACTAGTAGAGGATGGTATTCAAATACAGTCCTAGTTCAGCACACACATGTATATGCACAAAACAGCAGTGAAAAGGCTTTCTGCCCTATGTATTGCTTTTCTTTTATTGCCGGGAGACCTAAGACAAGATGGGCCTGATAAAACATGGGTTGGAGGACACAGCATTTTATTGGCTGCACGTGTTTGGAAAAGCCCCTTTGAATAGCATGGGTCTGTGCCACAGTCGTAGAGAACTACTTCCGCCTGAGTGTTCACATTAATCTGACAGCAAGTTATATATTCAGATATCCATTCAGGAGTAGCATCCATCCCCTCAGGACCTTTGGCATTACTAGGGTGTTGCATTAGGTAATGTCCAAAGTTTGGTTTTAAGGGGTGGGGAATGGGCCTGGCCTCTAGGTTCTAAAGTTCTAGGGTCACCCTGGCCCCCAGTGTGAGAGCAGTGATCCAAAGTCCCTTTGAGGGCAAACAACAATCTTATGAAAGAGAGAGTGATATTTTATTAAGGAAAATACCCAAGCATCTGACTTTCAGGAGAATTATCAAACACTTCTAAAATATGAAAAGTAACTCCATCAGGGATATTTAATGAAGCAATAGTAAATAGAATACCAGACCCCTAACTTTCCTTGGTCCCACAAATAAAATGGAATGGAATGAAATGAAACAAGAAAGAAGAAAAGGGGAGCTAGTTTTGGATTTTTTTTTTTTTTTTTTTTTTTTTTGAGACAGAGTCTCACTCTGTCACCCAGGTTGGAGTGCAGTGGGATGATCTGGGCTCACTGCAACCTCCACCTTCTGGGTTCAAGTGATTCTCCTGCCTCAGCCTCTGGAGTAGCATGCCCCACCATGCCCAGCTAATGTTGTATTTTTAGTAGAGACAGGGTTTCATCATGATGGGCCAGGCTGATCTTGAACTCTTGACCTGAAGTGATCTGCCCACTTCAGCCACCCAAAGTGCTGGGATTACAGATTCTTAAAGTAGAATTTGAACTGTACATAAATCTCCACTAATTACTCATTCTGAAGGAGGTCTTGTCCTCCCTTTGATAATCTGCGCCAGTGCTCTGTATCTTGATGAATATTCAGTAAACATCATTGCATAGAGAATCAGTATTATAGAGTGGAACTATCTAGTACAGTAGCCACTAGCCACCTGTGGATATTTAAGTTAAAATTAGATTAAATTTAGTTAGAAATGTATTTCCTTAAAAGCACAGGGTCACATTTAAGTGACTGATGGTCACATGTGTCTGGTAGCTAGCACCCTATTGGACAGCACCAATGTACAACATTATTATCATCAGAGAAAGTTCTATTGGACTGTAAGTCCAAGAAATGGTCTTGTGGGGCATGCTTTGTTCCCAAGATTTGATTATTGCATGTGTTGCTTTAAAAAAGGGACAATCCTGGCCGGGGGCGGTGGTTCATGCCTGTAATCCCAGCACTTTAGGAGGCTGAGGCAGGCGGATCACCTGAGGTCGGGAGTTCGAGACCAGCCTGACCAACATGGAGAAACCCCATCCCTACTAAAAATACAAAATTAGCCGGACGTGGTGGCGCATGCCTGTAATCCCAGCTACTTGGGAGGCTGAGGCAGGAGAATTGCTTGAACCCTGGAGGCGGAGGTTGTGGTGAGCTGAGATCGCACCACTGCACTCTGGGCAACAAGAGTGAAACTCCATCTCAAAAAAAAAAAGGAACAGTTCGGACTGTGTGCGTGTGCAATGTCTCACGCCTGTAATCCCAGCACTTTGGGAGGCCTAGGTGGGTGGATTGCTTGGGCTCAGGGGTTTGAGACCAGCCTGGGCAACATGGCAAAACCCGTCTCTACAAAAAATACAAAAATTAGCCGAGCATGGTGGCACATACCTGTGTTCCCAGCTACTCAGAAATCGCTTAAACCCAGGAGATGGAGGTTGCAGTGATCCCAGATCACGCCACCATTGCACTCCTGCCTGGGTGACACAGTGAGTCCCTATCTCAAAGGAACAAATCCGTAAAAACAAATTTCCAAATTCCGTTCGTGATTATCAGTGTGGTTGCCTTTTCATTAATTGTGTTAATTTTCTAGATCCCAAAAGCTCATCTTCAAGGATGACAAGTGCACCCTCCCAACCCCTACAGACGATTTCTCGGAACAAACCTAGTGGGATAACTAGAGGTCAAATTGTGGGGACCCCAGGAAGTTCTGGGGAAACGACTCAACCCATCTGTGTGGAAGCCTTCTCTGGTCTGCGGCTCAGGTCAGTAGCTAAACCATCTATTCATGTGCGCCACGGCATAGCTTTTTGTGCCTCTCGGAGTCCTTTAGAAGTAGTGTGTTTATACATCAGGATCCACAAAACACCAGCAGCTCTTGAACTGGACAAAACACCACTGGAAGACTAGCAGTAGCCCTAGGTTTGACTAAGTACAGTTGCATATAAAATGTTTAAGAAAGACTTTTTCTTGTGTATGTAATCAACAAAGAATCTGTATCTATAAAAAGAAATGGACAAATGATAGTATATTTAATCAGAAATTGACAGATGGAAATAGTAGATTTTTAAAATTTTTCTCCATCTCTATTGAGGTATAATTTAGACTTTTTAAATACACAGACAGTTTAACCAGGATAATATTTATGCAATTAAGCAATTACTGGATTGCTTTGGCTCTTCTGGGTCTTTTGCGGTTCTGTATAAATTTTAGGATCATTTTTTCTATTTCTATTGATTCTTGTAGTTGATGTTAAGAAAAATAGCTATGCTGTTTTTCTTTCTAATAGTCTTTTTAAGGCAAATTTATATTCTTTGCATCTGTTATAGGGATACATTTAAGATAGCCTGTTATAATAGGAATATATTCCAAGCTCAATCCAATTAAAAGCTATATTCAAATCTTGGACTTTTTTCTAACTTTATTTTAATTTTTTTAATTATCTATACTCTGTATCACTACTCCATTGCATCTCCATCATTACATCTGGATAATCCCAGGGCAGAACAGTACTCCTTACTGTGAGACTGGATTGCTTTTAGCACAGTCCATTTGAGGAACCAAGTGAAACCCTCTAAAACTCTGAAACCTTGTCAGTGTAAATATCAGCCAACAACTAAAACTGCTAAGCTCTTAAAGTATATATTATTAGCAGAGGAGAACAAGTGTTGCCAACATACAATAAAAGTGTATTATAAGGCTGGGCGTGGTAGCTCACACCTGCTATCCCAACACTTTGGGAGGCCAAGGCAGGAGGATTGCTTGAAGTCAGGAGCTCGAGACTAGCTGGGGTAACATAGTGAGACCTCATCTCTACAAAAAGTAAATTAGCTGGACACAGTGGTGTGCACCTGTAGTCCTAGCTACCTGGGGGTGCTGAGGCAGGAAGTTCGCTTGAGCCCAGGAGTTCAAGACTGCAGTGAGCTATGATCATACCACTGCACTCCAGCCTGGGCAACAGAACAAGACCTTGTTTCCACAAACAAGAAGTGTCTTGTAAAGAGTTGGTATTCTCCAAAACTGAAGAATGTATTTATATCTTAATTACATCTGAGACAGACTCTAAGAAACAGAATACAGCAGTAGAAGCTGTGGTTCTCATTGAGGGGGCTGCAGGCTTCCTTCTCAAGGTAGAGAATTGCCCCCACCTGAGATGCTACTGCCTGCCCCAGCCATGGCCCACTTGAAGCTCCCTATGGGTAATGAACCATGTTGCTGCTGGTGGGCATTTATTGCACATGTGAATCAGAATTGAGATAGAAGAGACTTAAACTACTCAGCAAAAGCTTCTGAGTGGCTTTTAAATTTAAGGGATCACAGAATTGTTTGGGTCTCTTTGTCATTGTTAAATGTGAACCTCAGGCCTTAAAAATACTCTAAAGGACATATTAATAGAAATTCCCCGACACAGGTCGAGGGTCCCTTATCCAAAATGCTTGGGACCAGAACTGTTTTGGATTTTGGATTCTGGAATATTTACATTTAATAGACTTGCTAGTTAAGCATCCCAAATCTGAAAATCCCAAATCTGAAATGCTGCAGTATTTCCTTTGAGTGTCATGTTTGTGCTCAAAAGTTTTAGATTTTGGAGCTTTTTTTTTTTTTTTTTTTTTTTAATCTATTAACTCATTGTTACAGAAAAAACCCTGGGCTGTATAGAAGAACCTTTCCCTAGCTGGGCATGGTGGCTTACACCTGTAATCCCAGCACTTAGGGAGGCTGAGGGTGGCAGATTGCTTGAGCTCAGGAGTTTGAGACCAGCCTGGGCAACAGGACAAAACCCCATCTCTACAGAAACAAAATTTAGCCCGGTGTGGTGACATGCGCCTCTAGTTCCAGCTGCTTGGTAGGCTGAGTGGGGAAGTCAAGGCTGCAGCGGGCCAAGATTGTGCCACTGCGCTCCATCCTGGACAACAGAGCAAGACCCTATCTCAAAAAAAAAAAAAAGTTTCCTCAGAACTGAGAAGGATCCAAAAGCCAAAGAATGACTCGGACTTATATGTAAGGCACCCCTGGATGGCAGCAAGATTGTTTGGGAGATCTGCTTATTTGTCTATTTTTGCTTTGGTTACCTGTGCTTTCGTGTTACTACTCAACAAATCTTAGCCAAGACCAATGTCCTAGAGAGTTTCCCCAATGTTTTCTTTTAGTAATCTCATAGCTTTGGGTCTTAGATTTAAGTCTTTAATCTTTTTTTTGAGACAGTCTTGCTCTGTTCCCTGGCTGTAGTACAGTATCGTGATCTCAGCTCACTGCAACCTCTGCCTCCCGAGTTCAAGTGATTCTCTTGCCTCTCAGCCTCCCGAGTAGCTCAGACTACAAGCACGCACCACAGTGCCTGGCTAATTTTTGTATTTTTAGTAGAAACCGCCATGCTGGCCAGGCTGGTCTCAAACTCCTGACCTCAGGTGATCCACCTGCCTCGGCCTCCCAAAGTGCTGGGATTACAGGCGTGAGCCACGGTGCCCAGCCTCTTGAATACATTTTGAGTTGATTTTTGTATATGGCGAGAGATAGGGATCTAGTTTCATTCTCCTGCATATGGATATCCAGTTTTCCCTGCACCATTTGTTGAAGAGACTGTCCTTTCCCCAATGTATGTTCTTTGCACCTTTGTTGAAAATGAGTTCATTGCAGATTTATGGATTCGTTTCTGGTTTCTCTATGCCAGTACCATGCTGTTTTGGTTACTATAGCTTTCGTATAATTTGAAGTCAGGTAATCTGATTCCTCCAGTTTTGTTCTTTTTGCTCGGGATTGCTTTGGCTATTTTGGGTCTTTTGTGATTCCATATACCTTTAGGGTTGTTTTTTCTGTTTCTGTGAAGACTGTCATTGGTACTTTGATGGAGATTGCATTGACGCTCTAGATTGCTTTGGATTGTATGGACAGTTGAACAACATTGATTCTTTAAATCCATCAACATAGGCTATTTTTCCATATTTGGTATCCTCTTTAATTTCTTGCATCAATGTCTTTTAGTTTTTATTGTAGAGATCTTTCACTTCTTTGGTTAAGTGTATTCCTAGGTGTTTTATTTGGAGCAGTTGTAAATGGGATTACTTTCTTGATTTCTTTTTCAGATTGTTCGTTGTTGGCATCTAGAAATGCTACTGATTTTTGAATATTGATTTTGTATCCTGCAACTTTATTGAATTTATTTATCAGTGCTAATAGTTTTTTGGTGGAGTCTTCAGGTTTTTCCAAATATAAGATCATTATCATCTGCAAACAGGGATAATTTGACTTTTTCTTTTCCAATTTGGATGCCCTTTATTTCTTTCTCATCTGATTGCTCTAGCTAGGACTCCCCTAAGCTGTTTGCCTACTGTGTATGTGTGATGAGGCTCTTTTCTTGGTGTGTTCCCAGATATGCTCCAGAATGGTTGGGTTCTTAGGGACATCTGCTCCTTGGCTGGACACCATGGCTGTGGCCCCCTACCTGGCCTTCAGGGTTCAGGCAGCTGACATACACCCTTAAGTAACTTGGGGTCGGGGGGAGCCTATCACACTACAATCACAGAAATCAGCCAAAGGAAAGAATTTTCCCACTGAAGTCAGTGTTTTGCTTCCTGAATATTCTTCATTGTTCAAACTTAGCTCTGGGACTTTCTGTTCCAGAAGACTCATGAAATAGTGAAGAACCATGTTTTTCTCTTAGTGTCTTTTCTCGTCTGCAAATATATAACGCTATCAAAGATGAAACAAATGTTAATAACCCTAAGAGTTTTTTGACTCAGTCATTAGGAATAAGAATATATTAATTGAAGCTACATTCAAAAGCCTTTATTGTATGTCAAAATGTTGTCTTTAAAAAAAATTCAATTAGAATAGTAGAACCTGTGAAATTCTTGCATAATCGATGAAATTTAAGTGTCTTATTTATGAATATTAATTCATGGTTTTGTAATAAAGTAAAAAAGATTGTTTGCAGAAGAATATTAAAATTTGCATAATTTAAGAGCTTAAAGGATTTGCGATCTTTCTTGTATTCTATATAAGCCCTAGATCTATATCCAAAGAAAGGCAAACCTAGCTTTAAAAATTATCTTAGAGGCCAGGCGCAGTGGTTCACACCTGTAATCCCCGCACTTTGGGAGGCCGAGGCGAGCAGATCGCTTGAGGCCAGGAGTTTGAGACCAGCCTGGCCAACATGGCAAAACCCCATCTCTACTAAAAATACAAACATTAGCACATGATGGCACATGCCTGTAGTCCCAGCTACTCAGGAGGCTGAGGCAGGAGAATCACTTGAACCTGGGAGGCGGAGGCCGCAGTGAGCCAAAATTGCGCCACTGCACTCCAGCCTGGGCAACAGAGTGAGACTCCATCTTTAAAAAAAAAAAAAAGAATTATTTATTTATTTGCTATAAAAATGGATGCCTTGGTCATACTATATAACTAAGCTTCCCAAGAACAGGTACTGTAGAGGTTTCTGACCATCACACTCCCTTACCACCTGCTAAGGTGCCAGGTAATTTCTTTATTAGAATCATAATTACTAATCGCTGGTTTCTTAACCCAGGCGGCCTCGAGTATCCTCCACAGAAATGAACAAGAAAATGACCGGCCGAAAACTGATCAGACTGTCTCAGATCAAGGAAAAGATGGCCAGAGAGAAGCTGGAAGAAATAGATTGGGTGACATTTGGGGTTATATTGAAGAAGGTTACGCCACAGAGTGTGAATAGTGTAAGCCATTGTATTGGTTTCTTAGCTGTTTTACTACAAACTGACAGTGGGAATTCGATGTCCTGAATTTGTTAACTGGAACCTGTTGGTGTTTCATTTAGAAATAAGTATAGTAAGTTCCAGAATCACCACACATCATTGAGTTGGTATCCAGCGGGTATAAGCAAAGGATGCCCTATTTAAATAAGACCTGGTGGTACAGGTTTCTTGGGCTTTCCATTGTCCAAATCATCCTTACTGCATTTCACTTGTCATTGTTTTGGGTGACACATGTGGTTGTCCCTGTGACACTGTGATCTCTCCCATGGAGGAGAGGCGCAAGTAACCAAAGAGGCTGAGCTCACCGATTCTTTGGAGGTCCCTTTAGATGTAAAGTACCAACCACAAAAGTGCTGAAATTGCTGGCCTGTGTCAGTGCCGTGTGATATATTTAATTTGATGGTTATTACCAAAGATCTAACAAGTTTCAAAATCACTTTTGACTGAGTCATAAATGGGAAAGTTATTCTGTGACCTGGCAAGTCAGATAGCCTGTCTTCTAAGCCTTGTGCCTTTAACTAGCGATGTTACCTTAGGTTGGCTGTTAATCTTTCTTTACCGGCTTCCATTTCCTTATTTATAAAATGAAGGAACTGACTTTGATTAGATTGAAAATCTCTCCTATCTCTAAAATGCTATGATTGATCATGCTCAATCATGATGTTATTCTCTAATTTAGATCTTGGCCCACCTTTGGTTTTTCGTTAGAGCTGACATGGGGTTGAATTTTAAGAGTACCTGGTCCTAAGCCATTATCCTCCACAAACTAATGCAGGAACAGAAAACCAAACGCTGCATGTTCTCACTTATAAGTGGGAGCTAAATAAATGAGATCACATGGACACAAGGAGGGGAACAACACACACTGGGGCCTGTTGGTGGAGGGCAGGGAGGGGGAGAGCATTAGGGAAAAGAGCTAATGCATGGCAGGCTTTATACCTATGTGATGGGTTAGTAGGTGCAGCAAACCATCATGACACACGTTTACCTATGTAACAAACCTGCACATCCTGCACATGTACCCCAGAACTTAAAAAAATTTTAAAAAATTAAAGATTACCCGGTCTTACACTAGCCCTGTCACTGTTGAGGTAAATGTGGACAGGTCTGGTTTTCCTTTGATCAAATTCTTAGTTACTTCATAAGTGGCTGTAATGACATAATAATAATAGACACGAGAATTTATCTGAACTCTTCCAAGACAGGCACTGCACAAATCCCTGGAAGATGGATTCCAGCTCAGCGTCCGGGCAGTAGATTCCATGCTGTAACCCATAACCATCCCCAGCCCGGGATGCCTCTGTGAGATAGTGCAAGTCAAGATTATTCACAGTATTCTGGTTTTAAAAACAACCGTAAAAGTGGAGGTTTTTCACATTATAATCGGTCAGCATTTTGAGCTGTATTTCTTCAGATACTTAATCATACTTCTGAAATGTTAAGGTTAAACTCAACCAGTTTTCTTGAAATGATGCTTTTGTAAGCTAAGCAGAGATGTAATAGCCTAGAAAGGAAACTTCTTTTTTCATATTAATAATAGACTTAGGCTAGGCTTGGTGGCTCACGTCTGTAACCCTAACGCTTTGAGAGGATGGGGTGGGAGGATCACTTGAGCCCAGGAATTCATGACCAGTCTGGGCAACATAGTGAGACCTCATCTCTATGAAAAGAAAAAAAAAATTAGCTGGGGCTGGTAGCACATGCCTGTAGTCCCAGCTGCTTGGGAGGCTGAGGATGGAGGATTCTTTGAGCCCAGGAGTTGGAGTGAGCAACGGGACATGATTGCACCACTGCACTCCAACCTGGATGACAGAGCAAGACTCTGTCTCTAAAAATAATAATCATCATATAATTAACCAATGATATGGAATAGATTTACTCATTTACCTAATATTGATTCATATCAGTAAGTTATTAAATGGTACTGTCATACCTTCCACTGTCCTTTTAATGATGTGTGTGTGTGTCTCTGTGTCATTAGAAAGGCAGTGCTATCCCACTCCCTCTGCTTAGACCCGAGATAACTAGAGACTCTGCTAACAAGTTTGCCACTGGCTTGCTTTATTTCACTTTCATCTCTAAAATGAGAAGGGTAATAGAATGCAAAAGCCTAGAGAATGGGTTAAAGTTATCACACATGCTGATGATACATATTTGAATAACAACAAAAAAACTTGGATTTTATGGATTATAGGCATATAGTTTTCCATAGTAAAACTCTTGAATCATAAATGAGGACGGCATAACCTACAGTTCAAAATTATAAAAAATAACTATTTGTTCCAGGGAAAAACCTTCAGCATATGGAAACTGAATGATCTTCGTGACCTGACACAATGTGTGTCCTTGTTCTTATTTGGAGAAGTTCACAAAGCGCTCTGGAAGACGGAGCAGGGGACTGTCGTAGGGATCCTCAATGCCAACCCCATGAAGCCCAAGGATGGTTCAGAGGAGGTAAGAGCCTGTTTCTGGGATTTGATTGATGATTGTCTTTACAAGTTAACTGAGTTTTATCAAAGATGTTTGATGCAGCACACAGTGGCTCACACCTGTAATCCTAACACTTTGGGGAGGCCAAAGCGGGAGGATCACTTGAGCCCAGGAGTTCAAGACCAGCCTGGGCAACATAGTGAGAACCCCATCTCTACAAAAAATGTAAAAACTGGCTGTGAGTGGGGGCACACAACTGTAGTTCCATCTATTCAGGAGGCTGCGGTGGGAGGTTGAGGCTGTAGTGAGCCCTGATTGTGCCACTGCACTCCAACCTAGGTAACAAAGTAAGACCCCATCTCAAAAAAAAAGACAAGAAAAGAAAAAAGTTTGTATTAGTCTACCTCCAGAAAATAAGTCATGCTTTTATGTGATTGTGTCTCCGTGAATCTGGCTTTTCATTTTTTGTTCATTCATTACCCATCAGTATTCTGAATTTCCACCTATTCTAAAGTGTTTTGTAACAACTACTTTTATTCCATCTTTTCAAATTAGTTACAAAGTTCCTGGAGTTTTTGAACTATTGTACTCAGGTTTCCTTGGATTCATACCTTCTTTTTTTTTTTGAAAGTGAGTCTTGCTCTGTTGCCCGGGCTGGAGTACAGTCATGTGTTCTTGACTCATTGCAAACTCCGTCTCCTGGGCGTAAGTGATACTTCCACTTCTGCCTCCTGAGTAGCTGGAACTACAGGTGCATGCCACCATGCTCTGCTAATTTTTGTGGTTTTTTTGTGTGTATGTGATGGAGTTTCGCTCTTGTTGCCTAGGCTGGAGTGCAATGGCGTGATCTTGACTCACTTCAACCTATACCTCCCAGGTTCAAGTGGTTCTCCTGCCTCACCCTCAGCAGCTGGGATTACAGGCATGTGCCACCATGCCTAGCTAATTTTTTTTGCATTTTTATTAGAGACGAGTTTTACCATGTTGGCCAGGCTGGTTTTGAACTCCTGACCTCAGGTGATCCACCTGCCTCAGCCTCTTAAAGTGCTGGGATTACAGCCATGAGCCACCACGCCCAGCCTATTTTTGTGTTTTTTGTAGAGACAGGGTTTCACTATGTTGCCCAGGTTTGTCTCGAACCCCTGGGCTCAAGTGATCTACCCGCCTCGGCCTCCCAAAGTACTAGGATTACAAGTGTGAGCCACCGTGCCCAGCATGATTCCTTATATAAATTTTTATGGTGGCATCAAGAAAGCAGTGTTTTATAGTTGAGGGGATTTTGCTCCGTTGACTGTGACAACCATAGCTGCAGTTTAAAATCAAAGTGAATTTTCATCTTCTCAAATACTAGAGTTTTGGCACTACCTACTGCTTCTCTAGGAAATTGCAAATCTAGACACAGTGTGAATAGCAACTGGCAGTTTCTCTACTCTGACCCAGCATGGAGCTTTACTCTGTTGTAGTCAGATTATTATTTTCAAGAGAAGTGAGAAAAATGTTATCTCATTCCTTGCTTTCACCAGAGAATGGCAACAAATCTTCCTCTATTGGTTAGGAATGTGTTTGGCTGCAAGTAACAAACAAACTTAAGTATAGTTTCTTTTCAACAATAAACAGTGGGGCTTATTTTTCTTACATATTAAAAAAATTCAGATTTAAACACTATAGTGATTTAAGAGTGACATCTCTGTGAGTCTCAGCCTTTCTCTCCTGGTCACAAGATGCCTTTGAAACTCTAGCCATCACTGTGAATTGGCATACCGTGGAAGGGTGCCAGTTTCTTGGAGAGGAATACCATGCACTGTTTACCAGTCCTGTGGGAGGGCTCTAAACACCTTGCCAATTTCTACTATTTCCAGATCTGGTAGGTTCCCAGATCTGGCTGGAAGCTTTGTACAAACCCAGCTGCCAGTGGTTCAGCATAAACCAAGCTACCAGCAGCTTTGCACAAGCCTGCCTACAGGAGTATGCATCCGGGAGACAAAGCACACACAAATTGGGCAAAGCACCTTAGGCAGCGAGACTCCACAGAAGCCTAGGATCTGGGTTGAGCCAGTCCACCAAGACTCAGTCAAGGCACTCCAGGCAGGCAGAGTCCTGTCTGCTCATGGCTCTCTTCACCCTGCAGCGGAGGGATTATGAAAGCACCCTGATCTGGGTTTTATAACCTGGAGGCTACTTGGCTTATTGAGCTCAAGTGTTGTAAGAGATCTTGTCCTAGGAGGGGTGAGGACAAAGCCCGAGCTATTCAGGACAGTCCCTCTTGGTACAGTCTGTCCAAGAAGAGAATTGCAAACAAGAAGGGAGAGAGCTGAGTTCAGCAAGGCCCTTGAGGGACTTGTCTCCCTCCAGTCATCTCCATTCAAGGCAAGAAGTGAAGAGGAAGGGGGAGCCAGCCTCCTAACTCATTTTGTCAGGAAAGCAGAAGCTTCCCTACCAACTCCTGTTTATGTCTGAGCATCTAGAACTTATCACATAACCAATGCTAGCTCTAAGGAGTGCTGGGAGAACAGGGAACAGGATCTATGACCTGAGGCTGAGAAGTCAGCCAGCCTAGAGAAAATCAGGATTCCAATCGCAAAGATGAAGGAAAGGATGGAAAATGGGAAAAGAACTGAAGGTGCCTTCTGCATCCCTGTTCCTAAAACGGTTATAGAGCCCTGGCTTCAAATTCCTTTAGACCACTAAAACCTCTCTCCTTTTTGAGACGGCCTCACTCTGTTGCCCAGGCTGGAGTGCAGTGGTGTGATCACAGCTCATTTCAGCCTGGACTTCCCAAGCTCTAGTGATCCTCCCACTTCAGCCCCCCAAGTAACTGGGACTACATGCACGCACTACCATGCCTGGCTAATTTTTGTGGTTTTTTGTAGAGACAGGGTTTTGCCACATTGCCTAGGCTAGTCTCAAACTCTTGGCCTCAAGCGATCCACCTGCCTCGGCCTCCCAGAGTGCTAGGATTATAGGTGTGAGCCACTGCGCCTGGCAATAACCTTCTTAAATCAGCACCAACCATTCTTTTTTCTATTCCTGCTAATAAAAGGCCATAATTTTGTCCGCCTTTAACTCCTGCCCCACCTTTTCTTACAGGTGTGTTTATCTATCGATCATCCTCAGAAGGTCTTAATTATGGGTGAAGCTCTTGACCTGGGAACCTGTAAAGCCAAGAAGAAGAATGGAGAGCCGTGCACGCAGACTGTGAATTTGGTTGGTTTCAGCCTTGTTAGGATGGTTTCTGCTAAAGAAAAGAACAGTTAGGAATAAACTGTTGGTGCTTTAGCTGTGATGACCAGTTTGGAACTGAGTTTCCCACTTAAAGGAAGAGTCAAAATGAGAAAATTTAATGTGTGGTTAATAACTGCCAGTTTAAAAAAGTGAGGGCAGGGGAAAGGTGAGGGGATTTAACCTCTTAGGAAAGTGATCTTTTATCTGACCAAGAAGTTTAAGACAGAATTTTTGTTTGCCTTTAATTCTTGTAATTCCACAGAGCAAACATGATGAAATACAATGAAAATTGTATTTTAGCCTATATTTTAACTCCATTATACCTTTTCTTAGGGCTTTTTAAAAAATAATAGCTTCATTTAGGTATAATTCACATACCATGCAATTCACCCTTTTAAAGTAAGCAATTCAGGCCAGGTGTGGTGGCTCACTCTTGTAATCTCAGCACTTCGGGAGGTCGAGGCGGACAGATCATCTGAGATCAGGAGTTTGAGACTAGCCTGGCCACCATGGTGAAACCCCATCTCTACTAAAAATACAAAAATTAGGCGGTCATGGTGGTGGGCGCCTGTAGTTCCAGCTACTCAGGAGGCTGAGGCCAGAGAATCACTTGAACCTGGAAGGCAGAGGTTTCAGTGAGCTGAGATCGCACTATTATACTCCAGCCTGGGCGATAGAGTGAGATTCTGTCTCCAAAAAAGAATATAAATAAATAAAGTCAACAATTCAGTAATTTCTAGTACATTCACAGAGCTGTGCAACCATCACCACTGTGTAATTTCAGAACCCTTTCATTGCCCCAGAAAGAAACCCAGTACCCACTAGCAATCACTCCCCAGTCTCCTCTCCCCCAGCCCCTGGTAAGCACTAACCTACTTTCTGTCTCTATGGATTTGCCTCTTCTAGACATTTCATATAATGGAATCACAATATGTGGCCTTTTCTGTCTGGCTTCTTTTGCTTAGCATAATTTTTCTCACAATTGATCCGTGCTGTAGCATTTATCAACACTTTATTCCTTTTTGTGGGTAAATAATATTCCATTGTATGGATATACCATACGTTGTTTATTCTTTCATCAGTTGATACACGCTTGGGTTGTTGCCACATTTAGCTATTATGAATAATGCTGCTAAAACACTCACATACAAGTTTTTATGTGGATGTATGTTTTCCACTCCCTTGGGCATATACCTGGGAGTGGGATTGCTGGGTCAACATGGTAACTGTCCAGAGTTTGGAGGAACTGCCAGACTGGTTTCCCAAGTGGCCCACCAGCAATGGATGAACTTTCCAGTTTCTCCCTGTCCTCATCAGCACCTGTTACTCTATTTCTTTTTTGTTATAGCCATTGTAGTAGGTGTGAAGAGGTACTTCTTAGAGTTCTTTGAAAGGATTAAATGACAGGTTTTGGTTTAATCTTTTTTTATTCCCTTATTCCTTCCTATTAGATTAATTGGTGGACAGGAAAGAATAAGGTGGGAGACGGTTGGAAAATGAGGTTTCAGAGTGAAGTACCCAACAGATCTCCCCGTGAGAATTAGATTCTTAAAAATCCATTGTCTGGATGGGGCGGTGGCTCACACTTGTAATCCCTGCACTTTGGGTGGCCGAAGTGGGCCGATCACTTGAGGCCAGGAGTTCAAGACCAGCCTGGCCAACATGGTAAAACCCCGTCTCCAGTAAAAATACAAAAATTAGCTGGGCGTGGTTGTGCACACCTGTAATCCCAGCTACTTGGGAGGCTGAGGCAGAAGAATCACTTGAACCTAGGAGTTGGAGGTTGCAGTGGGCCAGGATCACGCCACTGCACTCCAGCCTGGGTGACAGAGCGAGACTCTGTCTCCAAAAAAAAATCCATTGTCGCCGTAACTACTGTTCACCCAGCAGAACAATGCTGCACCATCTCTCTTTGTTTCTTTCACTGAAAGGATAGCACTTGTCCGAGGATCAACCAGAGAAACAGCTAGAAAAACCTCGCTGGGAGCTGATTTTGTTTTTAAATTATTTTTTATTGGGTCAAAATTCACAATATACAGTTAATCATTTTAAAATACATATATAATTCAGTGATATTTAGTTGTGTAACCACCAGCTCCCTGGTTTCAGAATTCCATCACCCTGTAAAAACAATGGCACCATAAAGTCATCACTCCCATCCCCACTCCCTCCGTCTCCTGGTGACGTCTAATCTGCTTTCTGTCTCTATGGATTTGCCTCTTCTATAAAAACTTCCTTTTATATTAAATAACATAGGTCCTATATTAAATAACATAGGACCTTGTGTGTCTGACTTCTTTCACCTAACTTGTTTTCAAGGTTCATCCTAAAAGCTGATTTCCTTTGTAGAAAGAGGGCAAGGGGTATTTCACCAGAACAGTGCTTTCAGGGGACTCGAAGGGAAGAACTTCTTCCCCTCAGGGACTGAGCAGCCCTTCCACATTGGGAACGGTCGTGGAGGTCAGCAGGGAGGACTCTGCATGCGTCATGTTCCGGGAAGTGGGGAGAAGGAACTGTGTCTGCTCACTGCTGTTTCCCAGCCTGTTGCCCTCATCCTGATGCCACTGCTCTGCCTTTTGCAGCGTGACTGTGAGTACTGTCAGTACCATGTCCAGGCTCAGTACAAGAAGCTCAGCGCAAAGCGTGCGGATCTGCAGTCCACCTTCTCTGGAGGACGAATTCCAAAGAAGTTTGCCCGCAGAGGCACCAGCCTCAAAGAACGGCTGTGCCAAGATGGCTTTTACTACGGAGGGGTTTCTTCTGCCTCGTATGCAGCTTCAATGTAAGACGTTCTCGGGCTTCTTTTGGGCAGAGGATTTTGCTTATCAAAGACTAAACCTACTGGTTGTACCTTCCTGTAACCGTCATAGGATACTTGTACAGGTTTTATCTTTCATAACTCACTACTTGAAACAAGTTGGTTAAAGACCGCTTTTATTCCCAGGTAGAGAGAAAAACTTTCAGGAGAGAGAGAGATTGACTTATGTTGTGTTGGACTTTAAGAGAGCCCACTCTTCCTCTTCAACTTTTTTTTTTTTTTTTGAGACGGAGTCTTACTCTATCACCCAGGCTGGAGTGCAGTGGTGCAGTCTCAGCTCACTGCAACCTCCAAGTCCTGGGTTTAGGTGATTCTTCTGCCTCAGCCTCCTGAGTAGCTGGGACTACAGGCGCGTGCCACCACGCCCAGCTAATTTTTGCATTTTTGGTACAGACAGGGTTTCACCATGATGGCCAGGCTGGTCTCGAAATCCTGACCTCAGGTGATCTGCCTGCCTCGGCCTCCCAAAGTGCTGGGATTACAGGCATGAGCCACTGCTCCCAGCCCCTCTTTGACTTCTAATGTGAATAGTGCACCTTCATCAGGGCCATTAAAAATGTGTTAATTACAGTGTTAACACCCTTTTAATTATTTCTCGTATGACTATATGAGTGAGGCTACAGACCTCATGGAACCCAAATTTCATTCAGTGAGTGAATATACTATGAAGCTTCACATGGGGAGTGGGGCGATGCTGGGCAGGCATCCATGGCCCCTTGCCTGGGGGTTCAGAGTCACTACAGCCCCTGACGCTGTAATCCAGGGGTGTCCAATCTTTTGGCTTCCCTGGGCCCCTTTGGAAGAATTGTCTTGGACTACACATAAAATATATTAATGATAGCCTATAAGCTTAAAAAAAGAAAGAAAAGAAAAGAAAAATCTCTTAATGTTTTAAGAAAGTTTATGAATTTGTGTTGGGCCGCATTCAAAGCCATCCTGGGCTGCATGTGGCCCGCAGGCTATGGTTTGGATAAGCTTGTAATCAGTGGCCTCGTCACTACATTATATAAAGCATATCTGAGGACTTGGCACGAGGCAGCTACAGTTGGTCCAAGAATAAAACATAGATTTTTGTTCCCAATCCAGCAGGAATGGGGCAAGAGGACTCATTTCCTGTTTCTTTTTTAACAGTAAGCATGTTTTTGAGATTTAAAATTATTTCTGAATTTTTCCAATCTGCTAAAACAATACATGTATATTAGTCTTTTAAAAGAACATACAATCCAACCAATGGAGAAAATAAAAACCAACTATAATCCTATCACCTGAAAAACTGTTAGTTCTAGGCCAGGCACAGTGGCTTACACCTGTAATCCCAGCACTTCGGGAGGCCAAGGCAGGAGGATTGCTTAAGCCCAGGAATTTGAGACCCGCCTGAGCGACATGGCAAAACCCCATCTCTACAAAATGCAAAAAAAATTAGCTGGGCATGGTGGCACATGCCTGTAGTCCCAGCTGTTTGGGAGGCTGAGATGGGAGAATTGCTTGAGCCTGGGGAAGTTGAGGCTGCAGTGAGTCAGGATTGCTCCACTGTACTCCAGGCTGGACAACAGAGTGAGATCTTGTCTCAAAAAAAAAACCCCAAACTGTTAGTTCCTTGGTATATATACTCCTAGGTGTTGTGTTTCTTCATATGTGTACATTTTTAGTAATATAAAATGAGATCATATTGTTCCTATTCTTTGTATCCACTTTTTTTCCAGTGTAAAATAATTAATGTTTTTCTCATGTATTTTCAGTGGCTACATAGTGTTCTTTTGCATACTCTGCCTTAATTCATTTAAACAATTCCCTGTGGGTGAACGTTAATGGTGTTTCCAATGTATGACATTATAAACAAAGCTGCCATTAATATCCTAAATTTTTGCATAATCCTTAATTATTTTAAGATAAATATCCAGACTGCTGGATCAAAGCATTGGCTTTTTTTTTATTTCTTTTGCCAAATTTCCTTCCAGAATGGCCTCAAGTGGATTTGTAGGCTGCCTCTAGCTTTTCCTCTGTGACACAGTGCATAAACCAGTTATGCTATTGGGCCGTAACATTAAGAAAGCCTACTTAGATGGTGTTTTGAGAAACTTTGACGGTGTGTGTAATAAATGATGATATCTATGCCTTCTTTACCTCATCAGAGCATTGAGGCTTTAGTGATTCTCCTTTTGGGGGTGACTTGTCATTTCAGTGCAGCAGCTGTGGCTCCTAAGAAGAAGATTCAAACCACTCTGAGTAATCTGGTTGTTAAGGGCACAAACTTGATCATCCAGGAAACACGGCAAAAACTCGGTAACTTTGTTTTTCCATAAGAAATTTCTTTCTCCAGTTTAATTATGCAGCCTTAGGGATAAAAGACTACACATTGGGTACAGGGTACACTGCTCCGGTGATGGGTACACCAAAATCTCAGAAATCACCACTAAGAACTTATTCATGCACAAAAATAAATAAATAAGCAAGCAAGCAAGCAAGCAAGCAAGCAGTCTTTAGGGTTGAAAATGGATACAGCTCATACTCTTAAGTAATAAGAATCCAGTCATCACCTGTACTTAGTGAGTGGCGCGGTCTAACCTAAAGGAATCAAGCCAGGTTTGCAGGACCTTAAGGAAAAAAACAGCATATTGATTTTAGCTATGTCTTACCTTAGTATGCTTTTTAAAATTTCTTGGTGTATCTGGGTCCAACTCTTTACATCCAGCATTAGAATC